>NC_000001.11:209548223-209699738 GCF_000001405.40 Homo sapiens | reverse complement strand
TTGCCTTGTCTCCGATGAGACTTTTAGACTGTGGACTTTTGGGTTAATGCTGAAATGAGTTAAAACTTTGGGGGACTGTTGGGAAGGCATGATTGGTTTTGAAATGTGAGGACATGAGATTTGGAGGGGCCAGGGGTGGAATGATATGGTTTGACTGTGTCCTTACCCAAATCTCAGCTTGAATTGTGTCTCCCAGAATTCCCACGTGTTGGGGGAGGTACCTGGGGGAGGTAATTGAATCATGGGGGCCAGTCTTTCCCCTGCTACTCTCTTGATCTGATGGGTTTATCAGGGGTTTCTGCTTTTGCTTCTTTCTCATTTTACTCTTACTGCTGCCATGTAAGAAGTGCCTTGTGGCTACCACCATGATTCTGAGGCCTCCCCAGCCAAGTGGAACTGTAATCCAGCTAAACCTCTTTTGTTCCCAGTTTCAGGTATGTCTTTATCAGCAGTGTGAAAATGAACTAATACAATAACGCATAAGATTCTCCCTTTCTTGCCACCCCCACCCCCATTCTCACCCCAGTTCCTCAGAACTCACAGCTGCCAAGATCTTTTCCTGTCTATAGAAAGAACTATCATTTCATGCAATTTTGTCCAGTAACAGACTCCCTCCTCCTTCCCTTCCTCCTGTTCTCCTCCCTCATGTGTGTGTCTAACGAGGGGAGAAGTTCTCATTTGTCAATCCTTCATGTCAATCTCAATGGACAGATTTATTCTATTTTTTAGCTAACGGAATCGTGGATCTGGGAGAATGAAGTAGGCATGGGATAAATTGCCCTCTGTGTGCTTTCCTGTTACTGCCTGGCACGTGTAGCTTGTGGTAGGGGACTGAGAGGGTAGAATACCTGGAATCTATTTGCCTGGGAGAGCCAAGGGCCTTCTAGGAAAGAAGAGACCCTCACGAGGTCACGAGCATGGTCTGATCCCTGCCCCCAGTGGAGATGGAGATGCAAAGAGTTCTTTTTATAATCAAAAAAATTCTGTTGTTTTTATGTTTTAAGGGCATGATCTAAGTAGACAGTTCTAAGCATGTTGTAGTTGTAGTTTTTCAGGTTTTCTCTCTTGCCTAGCTCCTGTGGATTCACATCTGAGCATAGAAGAGAGAGGGGGCCATGTAAGAACTAAACAAAGTTATTCAATGGAAGGTCTGTTGAAACATTGGCAGCATGGGGAGCAGTGGGAGAGCCCCACACAGCTGAGAGGACTGACCTCAGCATGACCACCACAGGGCTTTGGCCCATCTTGTGTTTTTTCTTGGTTGGCCAGCCCAACTTTCAGGAAGCACGCTAGGGTGACACCACAGCCCCAGCCAGGTGGGCATCTCAAGGTTCCAGGGATGTCAGCATTAGAAGGAAGTCACTTGCCCCTGGTGGGACATAGGGTTGCCAGATTTAGCAAATAGAAATACAGAATGCCCAGTTAAATCTGAATTTCAGATAAATGACAAATACAGTTAAATCTGAATTTCAGATAAATGACAAATAGTTATTTTAAGGATGCCTGTCTGTCTGTCCTTCCTATCTATCTATCTATCTATCTATCTATCTATCTATCTATCTATCTATCTAATCTATCTATCTTATCTACCTATCCTCTATCTAAGCTGTCTACCTATCAAGATGGGATAAACTGTTGAAAGAAATATTCCTAAACTATTGAAGGAAAGATGTCTTGAAAGGAACATACTTACACTAAAACATGATTCAAGCCAGGTTTGGTGGCTCTTGGCTGTAATCCCAGCCACTGGGGAGGCCAAAGAGAGGATCACTTGTGGCTAGGAGTTTGAGATCAGCTTGGGAAACATAGCAAGACCCTCATCTCAAAAAAAAAAAAAAAAAAAAAAAAAAAAAAGGAAAAAACAAAACCATTAATCATTCATTGTTTATCTGAAATTTGGATTTAACTGGGTGAACTGTGTTTAATTTGAAAAGCTTAGAAGTGGCAGTGGGCTTTAAGAACCTGAGAAATGGTCTCAGGTGTGGACAAAACATTCTGGACCATGCCTACTGATAGCCATCTGGTCTACCTTTACCAAAGTGGAGCCCAGCATCCTGGCCACAAACAGCCCAAAAAGGCAAAAGAGGTACATACCACATGGTAGCTGGGTGGAGGAATCATCTACTAACATTTATTTAGTTAGGTATTTACTGTTGGTCAGGTACTATGAATAAAAACACCATTGAAATGCTCTCCATGCCCTAGAAGAAGAAGACGTGGAAATAAATGAAATGTGTAAGACATTACCAGTGCGCTAATGGAAGTCTACAGTAGGGGCATAATGAAGGGAGTAGCCCATTCTACATGTGGGACGGGCCAGCAGGAGCTGCTTCCAGGAAGTTGTTCATTTTGATCCATGTTGAAATATGAGCAGGAATGTTCCAGGAAATGAAGAATGATAACAGTGAGCATTGAGTTGGGTTCAGGAGTGTGTGGGGAGAGGGGAGGGCTAGTTTGTAGAACATTCTTTGCACAGGAAGCTGTGTGGGAAAATAGAAAGAGGTGTGAAAGAGAAAGTCATGTTTGGGAAACTATGAACAGTTCCATGTGGCTGGATAACTGAATTTTACAAGGTGGGGTTACACAGTAAGAAGCCTGGAGAGGCAAGCAGAGGCACATCTTTGAGGGCCATGAATGCCCACTGTTGGAGTCTGTAGTTCTGGCCATTTGTTCTCAAGTCATGAAGGCTTTGCCCTCTGTGGCTTCTTCATCCCCATCCCAGAACTCTATCCCCTGGCTCTTTGTATCCCCTCATTGCCTTATGCAAAAAATTCTGAATCTTCTGCACTCTTTCAGCTCTTCAATCCAGCTTCACACCCTCCATCAGCACTTCACTCTTCCTGCCAGGCTGTGCTGGGTATGGCCTTGACCCTGAGGGCTTGCAGCCCCTGGAGCTATGCCCAGCAATGTTATTGGGCTGCCCTATAACCAGCTGGATTTTTCTACCATGCTTTTTTTCTCTTTGATCCTTCTCATTAAGTATCACTTGCCACTTTAACCTCCCCAAATATCCTCCTCCCTTGGCTTCTGTCAATTCATAGTCACCAGGCTTTTCTTTCTGTTTCTCTCACTGCTTCTCAGTTTTCTTTATAGGCTTATCTTTTCTTCTGGATTCCTTGAATGTTGGAGTTGGCCTTGATTCGGTTCTCATTTTTTGTCTGTATTCCCTGCGTAATTCCCTTCTCTCTCATGGTTATAATTACAACCTTTGTGTTGATGGATGAGTCTTAAAAGTCTCTATTTCCTGTGCAGCAATTTCTCCTAAGCTTCAGGTAGTATAACCACCTGCTTACCCAAACCCTCTCCTTCTGAGGGCCTCCTAAACATCTCAAATTCATCATGCTGAAACTGACATGATTATTTTTTAACGGCTTTATTGCAGTGCAATTTATATACTAGCAAATTATCTCATTTTAAGTGTACAATTCAATGATTTTGAATAAATTTGCAGAGTTGAGAAATCATTACTGCAATCTAATTTAGAACATTTCCATCTCCCAAAAAGATTTCTTGTGCCCATTTACAGTCACTCCCTGTTTCCACCCCCAGCCCCAGGCAACCAGTAATTTTATTTCCATGTATAGACTTGCCTGCCCTGGACATTTTATATTAGTAGAACTACACAACGTGTAATCTTTTGTCTGACTTCTTTCACTTAACATGTTTTTGAGATTCTTCCGTATTGTAACATGTGTCATTTATTGACAAATCATATTCCATTGTATGGATGTACCACATTTTGTTGATCCATTCACCAGTTCACAGACATTTGGAATTTTCCCCTGTTTTTTGCTATTATGGACAGTGCTGCAATGAACATTGGTATGAAAATTTTTGTGTGAACGTATGTTTTTATTTCTCTTGGGTACATGCCCAAGAGTGGCATTGCTGGGTCATATGGTAAATTTATGTTTAACTTTTTTTTATTTTTTTGAGACGGAGTCTCACTCTGTGGCCAGGCTGGAGTGCAGTGGCATGATCTTGGCTCACCACAACCTCCACCTCCCAGGTTCAAGCGATTCTCCTGCCTCAGCCTCCTGAGTAGCTGGGACTACAGGGTGCACCACCACACCCAGCTAATTTTTGTATTTTTATTAGAGACAGGGTTTCACTATGTTGGCCAGGATGGTTCGATCTCTTGACCTCATGATCTGCCTGCCTCAGCCTCCTGAAGTGCTGGGATTACAGGTGTGAGCCACCGCACCCAGCCATGTTTAACTTTTTAAGAAACTGCCAAACTGTTCTCCAATGACTGTTATTTTTACTCACCATTTCCCATTGATCTCTATTTCAATCAATGGCTTCACCATCCGTCTAATTAGTAATCCAGAAACTTAGGAGTTCTTTATTCCTCCCTCTCCATATTCCATTAATCACCAAGTACAGTCGATTCTACCTCCTAAGTATCTCTAGAACCATCTCCAAATCTTCACCCTTTGTGACCATCTGTGTTAGTCCACTTTCACACTGCTATGAAGATATACCTGAGACTGGGTAATTTATATAAAAAAAGAAGTTTAATTGACTCATAGTTCTGCATGGCCAGGGAGGCTTCAGGAAACTTACAATCATGGTGGAAGGCTAAGGGGAAGCAAGGCACATCTTACATGGTGGCAGGAGAGAGACAGAGCAAAGGGGGGAACAGCCAAACACTTTTAAACCATCACATCTCATGAGAACTCACTCACTATCATGAGAACAGATGAGATTATGGGGGAACCCCCATAATCCAGTCACCTCCCACCAGGTCCTTCCCTCCTCAACACCTGGGGATTACAATTTGAGATGAGATTTGGATGGGGACACAGAGCCAGGCCATATCCTAACTCAGGCCACCACTGTTTTCTGCTTTAGTGACCTCCTCACATTTCTCTGGCCACCTCACCTTCCCCAATCTATTAATTTTTAAAACAAGCTTGTGAAATATTTGGTATTCACAAAAGAATATAGGAAAACATGAATAACGTATAAAGCATAAGTATGAAACAAAAGCCTCATGGCTCACCATCCAACTTAAGACATGAATATCCCAGCACTGTGAAGTTCCCCTTGGGCTCTAATCCATCCAGTTCTTCACACCACAACTGATCAGCACATTTCTCTGCTTCAGAAGATTCAGTGGCTCCTTATTGTCTTTAGGATAAAGTCCAAACTACCTATTACAGCTTTACAAGTTCTTCATTATTTTTGAAATTCTTCCCCAGGAACCTCCCCTTGCCCCAATTCCTTATCATTCAGGTACTGCTCTTCAAAGTCACACCTTCAGGGAATGCTGGGGACCAGAAAAAGTGCTCTCTGAACCCTAGGCATTTCTCTAATCATTGCACTCATCACTTTTTACTCCTAGCCATTCACTGTCTGCCTTTCCCATTAGATAGTTCTGGGAAGGCAGAGACCATTTCCACCTTGCTTGCCCCTGCATCTCCAGAGTTAGTACGGTGCTTGGCACAGGGTAGGTGCTCAGTAAGCATTTTTTGAGTGTGTAATGGATGAACTGATTCTTATACATCCAGATACAGATGTCTGGTAGGTATTTGGAACTCAGAAGAAAGGTCCAGGTTAAAGATATAGAATTGGGAGAATTAAATCATGGAAGTTAATGTTGCAACCATAGGAGTAGATGAAGCCACCAGGGACAGAGTGAAGGCTAAGAGGGAAATCTTACACTCATGTTTGAGGGTTGGGCGGAAGGGGAGGGCCAGCAAAGGAGAACAACGGTGAGCTGGGAGCAGGAGGACAGAGAGCACAGAACCCAAGGGAACAGGTCTCAGTGAGATGGGAGAGGTCAAGGAAGGTGAGAAGTGCCAAGAATACAGGGGGTCTGGCATAAAGGAATCATTGGAGATCTTTGCCTGAGAGTTCCAGAGGAGCTAAAGTGGAAATGCTGTGAGTTGAAGAGTGAAGTACCTGAGGGAATGCAATGTTTACTGGTCCACAATTTTGAGGCACTTGAGAAGCATGGAGATCTGAAAGAGGGTTTTGATTTGGGGGATAGAAATGAGTTAAACTTTCATTCAAATGCTCAAATGCATTGAGCATTTGTGCCAGACAGTGTGCTGGGCTGAGCATCCTTTCTGTTTGTGGGAAAGATCCAGTAGAATCTAAAAACAAGATCACTGGAAGGATATGATTTATGGAGTCATACTCCAGATGATATGGCACATGGCTCTGGAAAAGGAGACCACTTCTTTTGAGAATCGAGGAAGTAGAGGACGGGTGGATATTGAATCCTTGCCTTCTGCTTCCAAATTCAGTGAGCTTTTTAGTCTAACTTGTTTCCTTCTTTGCATTTTTTGGAAAGCAGCTACATGCAGCTTCCCCATCTATTCATATCTCCTGGGGGAGGGCCAGGAAGAAGAAGGTGGGAACTTAAATTCTCAAATGTCTCCTCTTCCTCAGTATTGACCACAGCATATACCTTTCATTTTCATTTCTGCCTTGTCCTGCTCCCTCCTAATCTTTATATATTCACAAATTTAAGGCAAGAAAGTTTTCCCAGGCTTCACTTTGTATTTTATATCTGATGGGAGGATTCATGAAATTTGAGGGTTTGGCAACAGTCTCAAAAAACTGACCTAATAGGGAACTGAACGAGAATTTCTAGATTTAGGATGCTAAGAATTTTAACATGCTTCTGCCAGCAGAGGGAGCCCCAGGAGTGGGAGAGACAGCTCGGATGGCTACTTAATTTCTGGCAATGCCGTCAGCAGTCCAGAGGGATTTATGGGTTAACTGAAAATAAAAGAGAATGAAGGAGGGAGGGAGAGAGACTTAAATATACAGAAATAGTTACACACACATAAAATACATGTAAACTGATTCCCTTGCTCCTCCTAACACACACTCCTGATTTCCACTCTAGTCCAGTGATTCCCAAACCTCCATGAATCATCTGGGGGAACTAAGGGCAGATCCTTAGACCCCACCAAATCCTGTTGAGTCTGGCTTATTAAGGGTGGGACCTAGGAATCTGGATTTTTTGCAAAGTTCCTGACAAAGATTTTTCTGGCCAAACTTTAGTCAGGCTCCTGAACCTTCTAGGCCCATCTGGGCACTTCCTTGTAAAATCCAGTTTTACAAAGAATCCTGCTAAGTCAATTTAGCAAGAACCGAGCCCCCACCCCCCCCCCCGCCATTTTAATACCCGATTCCTTGATCTCTAATTGGTTTTTTCATTTGCCATCATCCCCCAGGGGGTGCCTGACCACCCTGGCCTGTCTTCAGAAATAATCCTGTTTCCTTTCAGCCAGAACCCTCCTTACCCCAACCTTGATGTTTCCTCTTAGAAATTTTCCATCCACCAGTCACCATCCTGCTCTTTGAGTGTAAATTATCACTCACTTCCCATGGTGTATTTGGAATTGAGTCCAGTTCTTTACTGAGATCTCTTTTCCTCCATTGCAATAGTCCCGATTAAAACCTGTTTTTACCACTTTAACTGCTCTCTAGCTCTGGTTTTCTTTGACAGTCCCCAGGTGATTCTAAAGTAACCTGTAGACATACCGGTCCGAACTTCTACTTTGGGTAATTAGGTAAATACTTTTAACTTTAGCTTGTTAGAGACTTAATGGCTCCAGACATCAACATGCTGACTGGTTGGTAGAATGTATTCCCTGGGAGACTGCTGTGTTATAACTGAGCCATTTCCTTTTTTTTTTTTTTTAAATAAACTAGTTTTTACATTTATTAATATAATACATGAGGAGGGCTTAAAAAGTCACCTAGTACAAAAGGTTTACAACTAGTGACAACAATCCTTGCTCTTTCCTTTCTCAGCCCTGGTCCCACTGACAGGCAAATCGCTTTTAAATCTTAATTTATTTTCCCCTGAAAACCAACTCCACATTTGTAAACGATGTGCTTTTACTGCTATTTGATTTTGCAATTTTGGAAATTACTTATTCATTTCCTGCTAAGGAATACTGGGATTTTGCGTTTTTACAACACACAAACACCCATTCCCTTTTTTCTAGATTCCTAATATTATAATAACACAATTTTAATTAAATCAATAGTGTTTGTATTATTATGATTAATTGTTTACAGCTGAACAATATAGTATACTATGATGCATTTCTTTTCTTCTAGTCTTCATTGAATTCCTGGGAGTTAATAATCACTTCATTTTGATTTGTTTGCTTTCTTAGTTGTACAGGTCCTTCAAACCCTCTGACAAGAGATATAAAATTCAAATAAATAGGTCAAATTAATTGAGTAATCTATGAGCTCCTTTATTTTTTTCTTGGAGACATTTTACTGAAGACTTTAGTCCTCCTGTTCCCTGAATCTGGGGACTTTCCTTTGGGAATGGGAACTCCCGTTTTTCTCTTTCTTGATTTACTTCCTCATGTATGATAAGGAAATGTTTTGAGACCTTGTATGCAGGAGTGATGTTTCACATTTTTAACATCTTTAAGAGGGCATTAATCCATCTGACCCCGGCCAAATAAAGGACAGTGTGACAGTTCTGGTCAGCCCCATCCGCTTGTCCTTGTATTACCTTCTCCTTGATTGTTTTTTGGCCGGGTAAGGATTTCTAGGTAAGTTTTCTCTGAGAATTGGAAGATGTTGCTGTCTTGCCTTTCAGTTTCTAGCTTCCAGTGTTGACACTGAGAGGTCCAACTGCTGTTCAGATTTCTGACCCTTGGTTTGTGAACTATTTTTCTTTCTCCAGGACTTTTGGGGTCCTTTTATTCCTGGGGTTCTAACATTTCCAATAATATTCTTTGATGAGTTTTGTTTTTGTGGTTCATTGTGTTGGGCACCCACTGGGTCCACTGAATATGGAAATTCAAATCTTGTATTTTGGTAAATTTTAGAGAAATTTTTTTGAGTATTTTATTCTCTTTCATTTGCTCTGTGCTTTCTTTTTGGACTTCTTAATAGAAGATATTAGAGCTCCTGAGCTGATCTTTTAAGTTTCTTATCTTTCTATGTCTTATTTTTTTAATCTCTTTCCATTTCATCCTATTTTCTGGGAGATTTCCTCAATTTTATCTTCCAATGCTTAAGTTTAATTTTAATTAATTAATTAATTTTTTGAGACAGAATTCCACTCTTGTCGCTCAGGCTGGAGTGCAATGGCGCGATCTTGGCTCCCTGCAACCTCTGCCTTCCGGGTTCAAGCGGTTCTCCTGCCTCAGCCTCCTGAGTAGATGGGATTACAGGTATGCACCACCATGCTCGGCTAATTTTTGTATTTTTAGTAGAGATGGGGTTTCACTATGTTGGCCAGGTTGGTCTTGAACTCCTGACCTCAGGTGATCCGCTCACCTTGGCCTCCCAAATTGCTGGGATTACAGGCATGAGCCACCGCTCCTGGCCCTTCATTTTAATTTTTAAATGTCCAATTGCGCTTTCATTTAAAGAGCTCTTTTTTCTTCTCCATACTTAAAAATTGGTTCTTTATTTTATCTTATTATTATTATTTTTTGAGACAGGGTCTCACTCTGTTGCCCAGGCTGGAGCGCAGTGGCGCCATCACAGCTTATTGCAGCCTCAACCTCCTATGTGCAAGCAATCCTCTCATGTCAGCCTCCTAAGTAGCTTGGCATGCACCACTACGCTCTGCTAATTTTTTTATTTGTAGAGACTGGGGTCTCTCTATGTTGCCCTGGCTGGTCTTGAACTCCTGGGTTCAGGTGATCCTCCCACTTCAGTCTTCCAAACTGCTGGGATTATAGGCATGAGACACTGCTGGAGAAGGAAAGTTTATTTTCAGCCAAAAATTGGCTTCTTGATCATAATTCATGAAATATCTTCCCTTATCTCTGGGGGATATTGATGTTGCTGTGGCCGTTACTGATAATTATTTCTTTGGCTTTCTAGATTTCCTCTCTTGAGGTCTCCAGTATCTAAGGCTTTTGTCCCATGCCCGGTGTCTTAGTCTGTTTGTGTTACTGTAAAGGAACCCCTGAAGCTGAGTAGTTTTTAAAGAAAAGGGTTCTGTTTGGCTTATGGTTTTGCAGCCTGCAGAAGAAGCACGGTGCCGACATCTCCACCTGGTGAGGGCCTTAGACTGCTTCCACTCATGGCAGAAGTCCAAGAGGAGCAGACATCACATGGCAAGAGAGGGGTGGGAGGGGCCAAGCTCTTTGAACAACCAGTTCTTGCAGGAACTCATAGAGTAAGAATTCACTCATTACTATGAGCATGGCACCAAGTCATTCATGAGGGATTCACCCCCACGACTCAAACACCTCACATCAGGCCCCACTTCCAACCTTGGGGATTAAATTTCAACATGCAACTTGGAGGGGACAAATATCCAAACTATATCACCTGGTGATCTTTGTAGTCTCTTCCTTGGCTGTTGGAAGCTTTGTGTGTGAGGGCAGGGCTTGTCAATTTTTGGACTTCACTGTAGGATAATCCAGAAGGCCCCTGGCGGTTTCATTGGAGGAACCACACATCAATGTCTGTAGTGTTTGTCTCTTTGGTTGAGTCCTTTCTACAGGGAAGAATCCTTAATTCTTCTGCTTAGTGTAAGCTGGGGTAGGGTGGGTGGAGAGGGGTAGAGCTAGGCTGTTTGTGTTCTGGGAGCTGAGCCAGTAAAATGGGCTGGGGAATCTCATCTTTCAGTATGGAGTCTTTCTCTAATCTCGCTATTTCCAGCTCCATGCCTAACCCCACCCTCTGCTGTGTCTGATGTCCCAGAGCCTGGTGTGTCTTTGTTAAGTTTCTCCAGAAAATAAACTTTCCTTCTCCAGCTGGAGTAGCTGTAGAGGCCAAGGGTCTTCTGCTATGTTTACCCCCACCTGTTCCTCCAACTCCTGAGGCTTCCCATCATGAGCACTCAGACTCCAGCAGTCTTGGGTTTGCTAAGTCACTTATTACTCATCCATCCACTTTCCATCTTCCAAGAGTGTTGACATTCCTTAACTGTTGTTATCTCTGTTGTTCCCATGTTCCCAGTCTTTTTGTCCTTGTGGCTTATGGCATATAAATTCTTCTACTGTCATCAAAGCATTTTGTCAGGATGCAGAAATTAATGTCTGTTCAGAGTGCCAAGTTTAACCCTAGATAGCTATTTCTGAGTGGCTTGTCAGGCTTGAAAGGAGAGGAAGCTTATAGTAGTGATATCTTCTACTTACCCCCAAGTTACTGAAGAGTCAAGAGCATGGAAACAAGACTTTTTATTGCATGGTTTTATTCGAAGAAAAGGAGGGGAAATATTCCATTTGTTCGTCCATTTAAAAAAATACTTACTGAGCACTAATACATCTCTGGAATTGTGCTAGGCGCTGGGAATACAAAGCCTCACTAATATGTGGTGTCTGCTTTCAAGGAGTTTGAAGTCAAGCACAAGGAAAGTTGGCAAGTAAGTCAGAGCTCACCATAGCGTGATGTATACTATAATAGGAATGTGTGTAGAGGGCTGTTGAAGTAGAGAAGGGACAGGCCATGGCAGCAGGAAAGGGCTCTGGGAGGTGGTCCTGGAGCTCAGTTTTGAAGGCTAAGTACAAGTTATGAGGATGTTGGAGAAAGGCATCCCAAGCAGAGGTAACTGCATGTATTCAGGCAAGAAGTCTAGAAAGCATGGCATTTTGGAGGCAACTCAGGTAGCCTGAATGGCTAGAGCAAGGGTCTGTGTTGGGGAGGGGCCTGAGTAAGGCTGGAACAGTCACTGAACTAGCCATGTCTCTCCAGAGCCTGATCCTGGGCTTACCAACAAGAGCTCCAGAAATCATAATATCTTATTCCCTCTGTGCATTTGAGCAAAGTTAAAACAATGTTATTTGTAAAATGAGGATAATATGAAGATTACATAAAGAAATGAGACATGTAAAATGCTGATCAATGGTAGGAATGTAAAATATTCTAGTTCTCTCATGACAAATCTGCCTCAAATCTTTCTCCTCCCTAGTCTCCTAACAGTTATAAAACAGATTCTGGAAAAACTAAACTATTGGGGAAATCTTTTTCTTCTTTCTATTTCTGCCAGGGAAAGATTACTTGAGCATCTTTTAACTGAATGTTGTATTTAGTCAGCAGCTGCGGTGTTTATGAGCTCTCGGACATCTGGGGTACCTTCTTGTAAAGTTTTCATGATTTCTTAAAAGGCTCCTGGGTGGGACTCTGGGAGAACTGAGTTCCAGTCTCCCTCCCATCACTGACAATACATGTGACTTTGGGCAAGGCCCTTCCCTTGTCTTGGCTTCAATTCCCTCATCTGGCAAACAAGGAGAAATAAATTAGATTACCTTTAATATTTGTTCTAGCTCAGAAATTGGACACAGAGAACTTTTAGCTGTACTCAAATTAGTATAAAGAAAGAGCTAGGATTTTCAGATTTTATTTTCATATCATCCTAATGACAGGGAGGCAGTTCCTTTCAAACCTTGGCAAGCCAGCAGAAGTGAGATTGTTTCATCTCTCCTTACCTTTCCCACCCTCCTTTCAGCTTCCGACTCTGATGAACTCACACAAACCCCAAAGAGAAACACTGGCTCTGAAGGAAACACTTCAATTGTGTCCCTCTGATACTGGTAAGCTCTGTTGGAAAAGTCAGAGGAGTTGGACTCTTAAAAGCCAACTGTTGTGAAAACACATCATCGTCGTCTGTAGATGTTTTCTGAAGCATGCATCCAGCTATTTTAATCTCTCCAAAGTGAGTGGATCACTAAGCCACAACCCTCTGGATGATATGGTCTATTGATGGCAAGTGAAGGTTTGGGTAAATGGTGAGGGTGGGGAATGGTATTTCCCTTTCCTGTCAGGTTTCTCTAGTTCCTTGACCTGAAACAAGTGTTGGGATTTTCTCTGAAAAGGCCCGTTTAGGGCTCAGAGGGTCAGTATTCTGAGCAGCCCAGCTGGACTAGGATTAAAGGATAGATGAATAGCACATGAAGAATTTTGATGGACACGTTTAGGCCTCCCTTGGTCCACTGAACAAGACTTCTGGAAATAAAATGAGCCTTTTCAACACTCTAGATCTAAATGTTAATAACATTAAACTGGCTGATGTTTGGCTGCAACATGCAGGTATCAGCACATTTAAGTACTTCCCAAGATACAGCATAGTGTTTGTGCTCTGTCATTGGTTTAAAGCCGATTTTAAAAACTGCTTACAACATTTCTATAATTCTTGCTGTCTTTCTGTAATTCCAAAAGAACATGCAGACACTTTTTATACTATCTTTGCAACTTTTTTGTTCCAACTTGACTTTCTGTCCCACAATGATCAGAATGCTGTCAGTGCCAGCAAGAGACTTCTGGTTCCATCTGCATCTTATCATATCATCCCTCCTACACATTTGAAAGCTCATCGGGCGTTTCTTCTTGTTTTTTCTGACCAGCATTTCACATTGAAATTTTTCTTTAGCCCAGCCCTCCTGTTCATTTCGATAGATTAATTATTTCAATAGCAGATTTTTTTGAGGACCTACTATGTACTAGGCCCTGATACAAATGGTGATACTATTATATATAATGTGATTTTTAAAAGTCTTACCTCAAGATTTCGAACAAATCTGACTTCTTTTTATTGATGTTCTTTTTTCTTTTTCTTCTCTTCTCTCTCTCTCCCTCCTCCTCTGCCTTTCCTTCTGTTTCATCTCTCTCTTCCTTTGCGGTTTCCCACTCTTTGGGGAGGGGCAGGATTTCCTGCTCAGAAGTTGGTTGGTTTCTGGGAGGAGTCAGAAGACCTGATTTGGGACTGAAACCAGCTGGTCTGCCACCTGATACAAGAAGGTGAAACCCAGGCCAAGGAAGAAGTCCCTTATGCTAGGACCGAGCTGGCAGCCAGAAGGCGCCTGCAGAGACAGCTCCAAAGAGAAGCCAGAGTGGGCCAGTTCTGGGCATCAGGCATCAATCAGTACTCCCCAAAGGACAGAGGAGCCCTCGAGGCAGCCCAAGACAGGAATGCTTGGAAGTGGTCCTGGTTGCCCTGGAGACTTATCCATTACTATTGTTAGCTCTTAACATGGGAGAGGCATACCAGACAGAGCCCCTGTCCCACCCTTAGCAGGTGCTTACTCTCAGATTCCTGACTTTGTCTCAAAGGAAGTTACTGAAACAAAAACTGGATTTGGGCAGGTTTTCCCTTTTCACCAGGAGAGACTCTAGTGATCCAGTGCATTCTGTGAGGCCTGTGTGTCCACACATTTCTCAATTATAAACTCCTTAGGGAATCTCATATGTGACTTATAAACCATTTTAGTGACTGCATCAGCTGATGTTGGAGTGGATGTAAAGGGAAGACAGGAATCTGCAATGGGATGTATAAGGGAAAGAGAATCCGTAAGTAGGGACAATAATTCTACCATGATTCTTGCCGATTAATGACAGAGAGAGTCACATCCCAATTCAGAGGTTTGTGATCTCTGGACTAAGGAAGGGACTACAGCATGTCAAAACAAAAATGTACTTTCTTCCTCTATTTCTTCATTTGTTCAACAGATATCTAATAAGCATCTACTCTATGCTAGGCACTGGGCTAGAGGCTGGGGATAGAGTGGTAAGCCATGCTAGATGTAGCTATGCCCTGATGGAGAGTATAGCGACTGGCCCCTCTGAGATTTGGGGACACAAACTCCGAGGAAGGACTGTAATTGTTGGGTACTAATGTCTCCTTTGGAGAAACACCATTAGACAGATTTTGGATAGTCATCTTTCTGTTACTTAGCCAATGTGGAACATTGGTTCTTTGAATGACACTTTTGCTTGCAATATCTACAAGTACCCCTCTCTATATGTTCCCAATTCTTAGAAAATAGAAGACTTTTTGGCTTTGTTTTTATTTCGGGGCAAGTTTTTTTATGTAGAGAACCATACGTTCTATTGATTTCTAGCTTATTTACTTTCTAGAGCTCTCTGAAAATATCTAGCTATGTATTGGATATTTTCTAAGCTGTCAGTTTCATATTTCAATTACTTTTTTCTCATTAAATCTCTGAATTCATATTTGAGCCCTTTAATAGAAAAAAATAAAGACAATGTTTCTTTTATTTCAGCTGTTGAGTGTACTCCAGAATGCTCTTTGAAAGTTTTCTGAAGTCTCTTTTCATTTTCATTTAGTTTACAATTTTTAATCTTTGTCTAACATACTTTTAAAAGAAAGATTTTTTTGAAATTGCTTTTTGTACTGGATTTTCAAGGTTTTTCTTGTCCACTTAAGGCGTTTGTTTTTCATTTTGCACAACTGAGTTATTTAATTTTTTTCTTACCCTGCTGCTTATAATTTTTTTTCTCTATTGGATGGACTAACAATTAACTGAATCATTTGGTACAGATGTTTAATCCAGAACAATAAGTACCTAATAAAATCCTGAATTGTTAACTAATTTCTGCTCAACCACCCCTGAGGCTTAGGAAAATCTTTCATGATAACTTTTAATTTTGCTCCAGGCCAGGGTTTAAATTCAGCTTTTTAGGGCTCCCCTCTGGTTTAGCAGTTTTACAATGTGATTACTCTTTTTCAGAGAAAACTTAGAAGAAACGGTTGTCTCATGTTGAAGGTCAGGTAAAGCTGAGTAGAAAGAGAAATGAAAGGAGGGTAGGTTTTAGGTGGTATCAGAGTCTTTGAGAGAGACCATTCTCAAGTTAAAATTTTATTTTGAAGCCTTAGCTTACCAATGAAAGAAGCTGACTATTGCCTCTTTGGGGCTTTGTCTCCTAATTTTTCTGGGCCTCCTCTTAAATATCTTAATTTATTCATTTTGACATGTCAGAAGTTCTACGTGATGGCCATTGCTATTCTAACATTAATTTTTGCAGTTTACCAAAATAAGTACAAGAGTTAGGATTATATGGCAATTTTATATGGAAAGCAGGAGTTCTTCCAGTGGAGACTGCAGCTTTGACATGGAAGAAACCAAGAAGAACAAGAGATGCCACTGAGTAAAAGTGTGTGCCTGTGAATGCTATCTTGGGTTCCCTTTCTAAGCAAAGGTTAGAAAGGACCACATAATTAATGACCTGACAAAATCTTTCACCCCAGTGTACAAACTAAAAGTGTCCTATCACAGACTGACAAGACAGGGCATGCTCTCATCAAAGTTTTTTGTAGATCTGACCAATTGCCTTTTCCCAAATTGGTTTTCAGTTTACTGGACCTCCAAATGTTATCGCTGAGGACTAGCTTGGATTGGATTGGTAACTTATGGAGTATATATCTCCATTCATTTCCTCTGGAACACTCCCTTATATCAGAAATAAGACAATACAGAAAAAATACAATAAGATTTTTTAATATAGACAAGCAAAAGTAAACAGAGAGTAGGAGGGGAATAAACAGTTTAATGGTAAAAATATTTATGCCTCCAAAACCAAAGGTCTAATGAACTTATAAAAAGACCTGTGTTGAACTACCCAGTGGTATACTTCCCACACAAAATATCAAATGATCTTATACCAAGACCTATGTCCAATTACTCAATGGTGTACCTCCCAAACAAAATGCCTAATGACCTTTTACAAGGGTCTAGGTGTAATTGTTTACTAAAATGTGCACCTGTTGACTAAATTTTCTAATTATGTAATACAAAGAACTAGGCATAATGATCTTATACAAAGACCTGTTTGCTTGTAAATCACAGAAGCAATGAGAACTTAATGAAACCAGTCAGATCTCAGGTTATCATTGAGATTTTCTCACCAGGCAGCAGATCTAAAGGACAAATGCACTTGGGCACAAGGAGCCCAGTAAGTGTACCTGTTGGTCCCATGTTCCCTGGAATATTGCCAAGGGAAGGTCTTTAAAACAATCACAGTAGAGCTTCCAGAATTGTCAAAGAATGATGAGTCCCCCATTTAAGGTCTAAAATAAAACAAAAATGGTAAACTTATTGCTCATTATAGTAAGGGCAAGCTTTGCTGCTCAATCTCTCTGAAAAGCAGGCTGCTGATCTCATATAGGGTTTCGAGGATGCATGAAGGTCAGGGACTGGTGTACTTTCCCAGACATAAATGGGCTAACATCAGCTATAGAAGCATGACTATTTGTTGATTGGTTAGCACTCTGAGATGCAGTTAATGGCATGAGTTCATTCCTGATTGGTTGACTCTCAGAAGTGAGGGCCTATCACTGATTGGTTGGCTTCTAAAAGCTTAACAGGTGAATTGTCATTGATTAAGCCACTGGGTTTTCTACTAGTTCAGGTTAGCATGACTACAGAACAATCAAATTTTCCTAAGAATGTGGGAAACTTTAAATATTCTCAGTTGATACCTACTATTTGTTTTCATTACAATATAGTGCAAGATGGCATCTAATATAGCACAAAACTATATATATTTATTTCTATAAATAGATCAAATTTTGTGGTGTTTTGTGAAGAGGAAGATAACTTTAATAGGCATTTCACTATGACCAAATTTGAGACTATTAGGTTTGACCAGTAGGTTAAGGTATTTTTATAAAAGGCAAAAGCATTAGTTAGATGAGCTTAATCAAGAAATAATTTATTTTTGGAATTAAATTTATCACATTTAATAGTAATTGAGTGAAAAGGAAACATATTTATCAATATGCTGAGAAAAAGAATAAAGAGGCATTTAAAGAAAGGGATGATCTAGACAGACAGGCTGGAAAGGGAAATACATCCGCTTTTTGGTGGTAATATTAGACAGAATCCTAGCATCTTATAACTGGATGCAACCTCCAAGTCCAGGAATCTCCTCTCCAGTTTATACCATCCCTGGCAGATGACTTCCAACCCCTGCTTGAATGCTTTTGGTAATGGGGAGCTTACTATATATCACAAGGCAATTCATTATGTTTTTTAATTACTCTGATATCTTAATAATATAATATCTGCCTCCTTGTAATCCTGCTTAATAGTGCTAGTTCTCTATTTTTGAGCCAGATAAGTCTTATCCTCTCCAATATAGCAGCTCTTGGAATATTTGGAGCAATTGTCATGTAAAGCTACTGAATCTAATATCTCTATTGTTCTTCAATTGTTTTGTATGTGATAGAGTTTCTGGACTTTTATTTGCCCTCGTCACTCTAATAAATCTAAGTAGATTTTTTTTGGTCAAGGTTTGTCTTAAAATATTAACAATAACAATAATAGCTCTCATTGACTGATAGAGCCTGCTATATGCAAGGTACTACTGTAAGAACTCTATGTGTATTAACTCATTTAATCAGCAAAATTTTCCCTGAGGAAGGTACTATTTTACAGATGAAGAAAGAATTTAAGTAAATTGAGAGACAGTGTGTGTGTAAATAACTTTCCCAGGTTTTAGAACTACAAATAGGAGAGTCAAGATGCAAACCCAAGCAAATCCAGGCAGTCCGATTTAAACTCTTAGTTTTTCATCTTGACAGAATGCAAAGTATAACAAAGCCACCTGCTCTTCTCTTTTTCTGCACATTATACTTCTACTAATGAAGCATTAATTTGTTTTAGAAGTCCTGTTATAAGCCCTCGTTGGCTTTTATTGAACTTGTAACCACCAAAAATCTTTAGGTCTGAGCAAAAAGAACAAAACTAGAGGCATCATACTACTTGACTGCAAAATAAACTTCAAAGCTATAATAACAAAAACAGCATGATACTGGCATAAAAGCAGATATATAGACCAATGGAACAGAATAGAGGGCTTAGAAATAAATTCACTCACCTACAGCCAACTGATTTTCAACAAAGTTGCCAAGAGCCCACATTGGGGAAAAGACAGTCTCTTCAATAAATGGTGCTGGGAAAATTTGGTATCCACCTGCAGAAGAACAAGACTAGATCCTGACCTCTCACCATATCAGGTCATATGCCACATAACATTTTGGCCAATGAGGGACTGTATATATGATGGTAGTCCTATAAAATTATAATAATGTATTTTTACTGTACCTTTTATGTTTAGATATGTTTAGGTATACAAATGCTTACCATTATGTTACAATTGCCTACAATATTCAGTACAGTAATATACCATACAGGTTTATAGCCTAGGAGCAATAGTCTACACCATATAGCCTAGGTATGTAGTGGACTATGCTATCTAGGTATGTTTTAAGTAGACTCCATGATGTTTGTGCAAATGACAAAATCGCCTAGTAAAGCATCTCTCACAATGTAGCCCCATTGTTACGTCACGCATACCTATAAAAATCAACTCAAAATGGATTAAAGATTTAAACATAAAATCAGAAGCTATGAAACTACCAGAAGATGATATGGGGAAATATTTTGAGACATTGGACTAGGCAAAGAAGTTTTAGATAAGACCTCAGAAACATAGGCAATCAAAGCAAAAATAGACAAATGGGATTACATCAAACTGGAAAGTTTGTGCACAGCAAAGGAAACAATTAGCAGTGAAGAGACAACCTGCAGAATGGGAGAAAATATTTGCAAACTATATATCTGATGAAGGGTTAATATCCAGAATGTATAAGAAACTCAAACAACCCAACAGCAAAAGAAACCCAAGTAACCTAATTTTAAAAATGGGCAAAATACCTTAATATTTCTCAAAAGAAGACATAAAAATGGCCAACAGGCATATGAAAAAAAAATGTTCAACATCACTGATCACCAGGGAAATACAAGTCAAAACCACAATTAAATACTACTTCACTATAGTTAGAATAGCTCTTACCAAAAGACAAAAGAAAGCAAGTGTTGGTGAGGATGTAGAGAAAAGGGAATGCTTATACCCTGTTGGTGGGAATGTAAATTAGCACAGCTCCTAATGGAATGGAAAACAGCATGGAGGTTCCTAAAAGATTAAAAGTAAAACCACCATAAGATCCAGCATTCCCACTGGTGGGTATATAGAGATATCTGTACTCCCATATTTGTTGCAGCACTGTTTACAATAGCCAAGACTTGAAATCAACCTAAGTTGCCAGCAGTGGATGAAAGGATAAAGAACATGTGGTATATGTATACAATGGAATACTATTCAACGATGGAAAACAATGATATCCTGTCATCTGAGACAAAATGGATGAACCTGGATGTTATGTTAAGTGAAATAAGCCAGACACAGAAAGACGAATAGCCAATAGCACATGATCTCACTTAAATGTGGAATATATATATATATGTGTATATTTACTGATCTTATAGAAGTATAGAGTAGATCAGTGTGGTTAACAGAGACTTGGGGGGAGATAGGGGAGGGGAGGATGAGGAGAGGCTGGTCAAGGGGTACAAAGTTTCAATTAGGAGGAAGAGTTCTGGAGTTCTTTTGCACAGTAGGGTGACCATGGTTAACAGTAAGGTATTGTATATTACAAAATAGCTAGAAGAGAAGCTTTTGAATGTTCTCACCACAAGGAAATGATAAATGCATGAGGCAATGGCTATGCTAAATACCTTGATTTGATCATTATACAATGTGTTCATGTATGGAAACATCAAATTGTACTCCATAAATATGTACAATTATAATGAGTCAATTAAAAATTTCAAAAAACTCTAGATCTTTTTCACATGATCTGCTGCTAGAATATGTCTTTCAAATTCTGTGGTTGTGCAATTGGTTTTTTGGATCTGAATTCTGTACTGTATCTTTTTCCCTATTCGGTTTCAGTTGGTTTTTCTTCGATGCGTGGTTCCAGCCTATTGAGTTGTTTTGAGTTCTGACTGTGCTGTCTCAGCTCTGTGTCACCAACAGAACTGATAAGTATACCTTCTGCTACCTCTCCTAGGTTGTTGGTAAAATTACCAAGCAGCATAGGAAAAAAGACAATTTTTGTTCCTGTGTTGGGGGAGGAACATGTTTGATTGTAACCAGACAGAGCCTTGTGAGACCACCTCATAACTTCGATTCTGAAATTATTAAGCAAATCCTTTTTCCTTACTTTCCTCTAACCCAGAATTTTTCAACTTCTGCCCTATTGACATTTTGGAATGGAGAATTCTTTGTGTTGGGGGCTGTCCTGTGCATTAGAACATGTTTAACAGCCCACTGACTTCTACCCTCTAGATGCTTGCAGTCCTGCCCCCTCCCCTCACCCAGACACCAGAAATGTCTTTAGACTGTCAAATGTTCTCTGGAGGGACAAAATTGCTTCTCCTTTCATTTACAATCACTGCTCTAGCCTCATAAATGATTAAACAATCAAGTATTTATTAAGAACCTACTATTTGCCTAGGACCTAATGATTTCTGTGAACACTGAAGAAGACATGGTCCTTTACTTCAAGAAGATTATACTGTAAGAGACATGACCAAGCCCACAGAACAACTGGAAGAAAAAAAGCCCATTACTGAGTGATGTGGTATGAGATTCAGGCTGTACGGCCTATAAGAACTCAGAGAATTGAGAAGACCAGTGAGAACAGAGATTTCAATAGCTCGGATTTGATTGGGTTGGGTAATTTGAATATAAATAGGCATGGGGAATTTCCTTCTACACAAAAACATATAGGCATACTTATATATTTAGGGAACTTTATTTTTTTATGTATAGGCAACCTTTCAAAACATAGGCGTTACCCTCTAAATAAAAAATCATGTAATCCCAGTACTTTGGGAGGCTGAGGCAGGCGGATCATGAGGTCAGGAGATTGAGACCATCCTGGCCAACATGGTGAAACCCCATCTCTACCAAAATACAAAAAATTAGCTGGGCATGGTGGTACACGCCTGTAGTCCCAGCTACTCGGGAGGCTGAGGCAGTGGAATCGCTTGAACCCAGGAGGCAGAGGTTGCAGTGAGCCAAGATTGTGCCACTGCACTCCAGCCTGGTGACAGAGCAAGACTCCATCTCAAAAATCAGAGCACACAATTTTACATGTATTTTGACAATGGGCAAAATACCTGTATTTGAAATCATACCTTCCTTGGAGAATTTGAGGTATGTGGTTTCAGAAGATGTGGAGGTAGTGGGTGGGAGGACATTCGGGTTGGAAATTCGGGTTGGAAGAGTAATGTAAATGAAGGTGCAGAAAACCAGAAGGAAACAGGCAAGGACCAGGGTTCATGCTAGGCACCCTGACAAATCAGGCAAGACGGCCAGCTGTGATGGAAGCACATCACAGAGGCACTGAAACCTGGCATAAGAGTTTTAGTCTCAGATGTTTTTGAGTTCAGGAGCAGCAGAATGAAAGATATTAAAGGAAGACAGTCTGACAAGGGATTGTTTAGGGTGAATGTGCTAGAAGGTGCAGGGGGTGGCTTGAGCGGTTGAGAGCCAGACAAGGTGGTAACTGAATGGGTAAAGGAGTAATTAATAAAAGAGGCATTTTGGAAGACCAGCAGGAAGGATAAAATTGAGTCAGTTCCTAGGAAGTTTCTTGGACATTGAAAGTGAGGCTCTGCCTTGGTATAGGGCTGAATTTCCCATTTTGGAAACTGGGAGAGCCATGGTGCCACTGACATTCTTTTCCTTTAAAACTCCAAATATGTTTCTTTTCCTTGATTAATCTTACCACATTCTGATTGCTTTTTTCCTTTGGGAGTGATAAGAATAGATTTCAGAAAGAGATGGCTTTTGATCAGGGCCAGGAACACTTGGTAGGAATTGAGTTGGCAGAAATGAAATGGAGATGTGTGTAGGGCATTGGACGAAGGAGAGAGTCTGAGCAGAGGCAATGGTGTGAGCCAGTGATATGTTTGGCAAAAATGCATAGCTGTTGATGAAAGGAGTAAAGTGTCAGTACCTGATTAGGACAGGTGACATGAAAAATGTGAGGAGACTAGCATCAAGGCCATGCCTCTGGCTCCTGGCTACTTCTTTAAAGTTTAAAATTTGTTTTGCTGAGCCCTATAGAGTCACTGAATTAGCTATTACTACAGATGAAGCTCTGTACACTGGAGGAGGAGGACTCAGATATGTAACAACCGGTTTTTTTCTCTTTCTAGCCCAGAGTTTCTTACTATGATCTGGATTCGTGGGGAGGAAGGCTGGGTAGAGCTAGACTCATCATCTGCTTTGGTGTTCTTGGGAGCTTATCTCTTTTCCTGCCAGGTAGATAGTTTTTCCTTTCTTTCCTTCCCTTCACCTCCAGACCTCCCTCCTTCATTTTCTTTCCTTCTCTCTGTCTGTCTGTCTAAAATATAGTTGGGAAGAAAAAGGTATCAGCCATGGGAACCTCTGGTGCACAGGTGTAAGGAACAAAGAGCTTTTCTGCCTTAGAATTAATCAGTTATCTCCTACTCACTGTAGCTCAGAAGTTGATCTACCTTTTGATGTTAAAATGCTAAATCTCACGGAAGTTATAAAATTTTCTCTCTTCCCACCCCTAACAAGAAGGAAAAACAAGTCCTCAACAGACTTATATGCATGTAGTAACTTATTACACAGTTCCTAGGTGTGAAGCAAGTGTCTGACCCTCAGGAAGCTGCTCCCTCTGCAGTGCTCAGGTAAGAACCCATCACCATCGCCCACCTGCTCACCCTCCCTGCTTCCCACCCCAGGACACCACACCTCTCAGGAATTACATGAGATATGGTATAAAAAGTTTTTTTATTTCAAAATGCAAAATGGTGGTCATTGTAATAATTAATAATAATAACATAAAAAGCATTTATCCTTCCTCCCTAGTGCAAAATGGTAGACGCATTTAGATAATTCACACAGTGTTGGAAATGTCATGACAATGCAGTGCTGCACAGCAGCAAAACTCAATCCCAAACTCCTTTGGTGGATGCTTGTGGTAGGTCAGTTCTAGATGTCAGCGGTTTCTCTGAAGTTAAGTCCAAATAAAAAACAGCACGTGCTCCTGCACTCTCCCAGCGGAGTCAGGCTCCTGTGCGCGCGCCCCCTCTGTCTCTCCATTCCTCTCTCGGTCTGTCTCTGTCTACTGCGTCTCCCTCCCACTCCGCTGGTCTCCCACAGTTCCTAGGAGGCGTGCTGCCGGTTGGACAGGGCCCGGCCGCCGAGGACCGTGTCCTGCTGCTTGCCTTTCTCCTGCAGGGCTTGCTTCTGGAGAGCCTGTCGCTCCAGGGCGGCCTGCAGCTCCGCCACGGCTGCCTCCTGGTCCCGCAGACGTCTGGCGGCCGTGAAGGGGCTGCACACAGTCTCCATCAGGCCGAGCACCACGCCGAAGAGGGCCAGCACGCTGCCCAGCACGTACAGCTTCACCATCTTCCCCTTGCGCTTCTGGGCCATCATCTCCTTGGCCAGGGGGATCAGCTCCTGGACCGTTTCCATCTCGGCTCTGGGCTCTCGGAGGCGGGAATGACCTGCAGGAGGAGCAGCAGGAGAGGGGCTTCAGCCACCAAAGAACGGCTCCCACCACCCCGCACCCAGCTAATCTTGGGGAGGGCTCATAGAAAGGCGGACTACCTTAGTGGCACGGCGCGAGCAGGAGGCAGCGCGAGCTGCAGTTGGCAGCGGTCAGCGCGTCCGTTGGTCCGACCGACCTCAGCGTTCTCCTCCTCTCGGCAGCTGCAGCTCTCCCAGTTGGAGACTCCGCCGCTGGCACCGCTTTAGCGTCCGGGGGCCGCTTATATCTTTTCTCTGAGACACGCCTCCTGGGCTCTCCGGCCCAGGCCAGCGCGGTCAGAGCCAGGGGAACTCGGAGGGGGAGGAAGAAGAGGAGGGGAAAAGGAGGGGGTGGAACCCGGCTGGGACCTGGCAGGAGGTGGCCACGCGCTGAGCACGCTCCGACTGTGTGAGCTAGGGGGCCCGGCGCGGGTGCCATCGCAGCGGGGCGCGTGGGAAGGCCAGTGTGCACGCGAAGGTCCCACTCCAGGCGAGCGCAGGGGAGGACCCGGAGCCCAGGGAGGTGTCCGCGGACATCTCTGACATGGCGGCAACCTTCTTACTGGTGTCAGCGGGTGCACAGCTTCCCTTGTCCAGGACAGCCTGACATTATAAATAATGAGGGAATTTGGGGGTTCCATCTAAAGAAGAAAGCTTTCATTTTTATTCGGAAGGGTTGTCACCTTCCCACGTGTGTGGCAATGGATCAGAGAGGAGAAGGCAAGGGGGAAGGATCTGGGTAACAGGACAGAACAGGTTACGCTTGGATAAAGCAATATGTGCTAATATTGTTTCTTTCCTGCCTGGTTGGTTTTATTTAGAGGTACATGCATGTATAACTAGAGTCAGTTGATAGAAAACTATTCATTGATGGTGCTTTTATGCACAGAGGTGTGTGTGTGTGTGTGTGTGTGTGTGTGAGAGAGAGAGAGAGAGAGAGAGAGAGAGAGAAAGAGAGAGAGATTAGTCTCTTTGCCTGCGAGCTGTTTCCTTATGTACTTCCGTGTATCAGGGAAGAGCCTTCAAATTCAAATTGTTCTCACTTCCACTTGAGAAGTGGAGTTGGGAGCTTGGGGGTAGGGGGTCAAGTATGGAAGGGGCTGTTGGTAGAAGTTCATCTGCCATTTTAGAATGGAAGTATTTCATGCTCTCCTCAATAATTCTCTGCCACCCTCCTGGGTTTGGGGGTACAACTTCACTGCTCCAGCTCAACTTCAGCTTTGAAGCAGTTTGTGGGCAGAAGGGCGTGTAGTAGACAGCTTAGGTAAGAATCCAGAGTGTGAGTACTCTTGGACGTGTGAAGATGTAGGATTGATTTTGACCAGGGTTAGCTGTAATCACCTGGGGCTGAGGGAGCGTTCTAGTTTGGCTTTGGTTATGGATATGCTAGAGTTAGCAAACTTGGGGAAAAAGAGAGGCAAATTGGCCAAAGGGTTAGCAAACTTGGGGAAAAGGAGAGGCAAATTGGCCAAAGGCCTTTAAGCAGAGAAAGGGAGGGGGCAGGGGAAAGAAGGGGAAATCAAACTGGCCAGAAAATTGCAAAGGTCAGTGATGCAATCTTGCAACAGCCTTTGCAGTCGGTCGGACTGAGCCCTGAAGGGCGGGTCGGGGGAAAAGGCTGTCTCAGGGATCAAATATTTTAGTTTTTGAATTGTTAACAGTAATCTTTCTTTGGGGGTCTGAAGCAATTTCTCAGATGATTCAGTTTAAAAAGGCAGCAATAACAACTACCCTTTGCCTTGACTATTAATAGTTCAGGCAAGGGCTTGTGTGTGGAGAATGGTCAAGGTTATCTAAATAGCTTATTTGAAATTCTATGTTTTAGAATTTAGTCTGAGTGAAGGTGACCAGGGGCCAAATAGAATTGATTATTCCTGGAGGACTGTGTTTCCTGCTTATTGTTCTTTTAACCTTGTCAGGCAGGAAAATTCTGTAACAAGGGTTCCTGCCAAGTTTAATATCAGTCTTGGCATTTTCTTTGAATCTTCCTTATAGTTTCAGAGCAACCTCTGATAACTGGCAGAAATGATTAGTGAGCTTTCCCAATATCTGTGAGGGTTCCAAACCCATTGACTTCTGGAAGAGCATGTGATGTGTGCCCTGATATAAGGGCTGTCACGTGGTTTCCATTCTGAAGGTGAGTCAGCCTAGCTTGGGACCCAAAATTCTGAAATTGACTGGTCCAGTAAGCATTTCCTGTGTTTCTGTAACTCAGAGACGCAAACCACACGTCTTCCTAGGTCAGAAGGCTGTAATTTACCTGGGGTTCCCCTTTCCTGTGATTTGCTGTGTTAGTGCACATCACCAGCTCAGTTCCTTTTTTTGATAATTTGACTTTGACCTCCAGGTTCCAGCAGCTATATTGGTAAGAGCTGGACAGAGGAGGGGCAGCAAGTGCCATGGACGGAGGTCACTGGTAGACTTGATCTTCCTAGTTTAGGTGGTAGCTGGGGCTGAGCAGGAGATGATGGGAGTAGAAGGCTAAGGAATCCAGTGTTAACTCATGTCTAGGAATTTCTGAGTGCAGCTCCTCTGTCTGGGTGGGAAAAGAGAACCTGGCTCCTAGGGTAGAAGGTGACTAGGTAGGGCTTGGAAACTAAACATATATTTTAGTGGGGCTGATGTCATTTTTAGGGAAGTAAAGCACTGTGTTGTGTCATGCATGCAGGTAAGATACAGGTTATAGCGATGATGGTCAAACCAAGCCATAGGGTGACCAACCATCTTATTTTGCTCAGGGTTGAGGGGTTCTCTGAAATGCAGGACTCCTGCTAAAACTGAGCACTAAAACTGAGATACTTCCAGGCAAACTGAAACACTTCCAGGCAAACTGAAATAGTCATCCTACCCTTGAGTCTATCTCAACATTTAACTCTTGCCACTTCTAGGAAGGTAGGAAGGACTAGTTTAAAATTTTTATATTTTGCTTTCTAAATCCCTTTCTCTCAGACATTAAGACATTCAGAGCCATCTGCAGAGGGTAAAGTCACAAAGGGGTGCATGTGTTTCAAGGGTTAAGTGCAGAGGAGGGATAGAACTGTCCCTACCCCTCTGCCTTGGGGATTGAAGACACAGGGGAAAGAGGTCTTTTGGATGGTTAGTTGTAAATGAGCTTCAATAATAATTGTTATTGTTACAATTATTATAATATAATAATAACAATAATAATTATTATTTTGTTACCGGCTGCTTGCTGCCTACACAAAGTCACTGCCCACCCCTGGGGCTCCAGGCAGCTGAAGGGAGGGAGTCATCATAGGAGATATGACAAAACTATTTGTAGTTTTAAGACTACCGCACTAGAAATTTTTTTTAGACCCTTAGTTACTTTCATAGTTTTAGAAAGGAAGTTGCTTATCACTCGGATATCAGTGGAAGACACTGAAATTTATATGTGTAGCCACTGTCTCCTCTGGTCTTATAGACTAGAGTTCTAGAGTCTAAATATTTCTGTGTGGATACACTGCTATTATCACAGCTTGACACACTTAAAACAAGACTCCTTACCTTCTCTATACTCTTACAAGCTAAGTCTTCTTCTCAATATCCTTATTTCTAGCAGTGACATCTCCGTTTCATTTGTTCTCTGGGCTTGAAATATCATGGAAGTTATTTGGAGAGGCCTTCCCTGACTACTGCATCCCACCACTCTCCACCCAGTGCCCTACTTTCTTTTTCTTCATAGCACTTGGTTACCTGATTCTATGTGGATGTACTTAATGGTGTGGTTTTATATTGTCTTCCATGTGCGTTGGAGGATAGGCTTCATGAGGATAGGGACTTTGGTTTGCTCCTCACTGTGTCCCCAGTGCCCAGTATAATTCTTAGCACATAATAGGTCCTTAATGGGTAACTATGGGATTAATGAATGGCTTTTCCATGGACTGTGAAGCCTGGCAGGGAAGGGACTGTTTTTTGTTTGTTTGTTTGTTTGTTTTTGAATGCAGTCCAACTTTTAGTAGATGCTTAAAGAAGCATTCAGGTTTTTGAGGGGACAGTTTTTTTGCTTTTAATCCTTTCTCCTCTAATCCATCTTAAACACTACCACCAAATGAATCTTCCTAAAATTTAATTTTTTATTGTCAACTGCCTGTTTAAAGGCCAAGATCATTTCTCATTGCCCACATAATGGACTCCTGGATCCTGCATGTTGAATTTGCTTGATTTAGTATTCTTGGAATTCAGGCTCTCTATGGTCCGATCTTCTCCTGTTCTTCTCCCACAATAGCCCTTTGCTCCACAGAGAGGTTTCTTCACAGGCCAAGAAACAATTCATTCGCATTGCTGCTGCTTCATTTATTTTTGCTCACACAGTTGTTTCTACCTGAAATGCTGTCCTCTTTCTACTTTGTCTTCCTTTCTTCCTTGAGGTCAAGTTCAATTTCCTGTGCTCCAAGAAGCTACCACTGCCCATGGCAGCACACCTTGATCTCTCCTTTCTGTGAATTTCAGTTGCCTTTGGGGCTTGTACTCTACAGGCTGGCACTGGATGGATTACCGTTTTGTACAACTCTGTCATTGTTTCCTGTGGGCTTGCCTCAGCTCTGTGGAAGACAAAAGCTTTGTATCTTTCATGGTGTTAACATAGAATAGGAGGCTAATCAATATTAGTTACATTGACCTAAAAGTCAGTGCTGAGATAGAGAGGGCAAAGTGACCAGTTAAGGCTCTCTTGGGAAGTTATTTCAAGCACAGTAGCCTGTCCTTGGCTCAGAGCCTTGGTGTTGAAATTGCCCAAGACCTGGCAACTTGGCTTAGTTTCCTCCACTCTGGTCTCCTCACCTTTCACTTCCACTCCCAACTTAGTGTCTGACATTGTAGCCATTGGCTCACTCTGGGCACCCTCCAGCCTGCCCGTGGTACAAATCAAGGCAAAGGAACAGACTTTATAGGCATTCTGCTTTTGTCCTTCATAACTTTTGGTCAAGCAGAGCCACCAGCTGCTGGGGCATGCAGACTGTGCTGGAAGCCTTGAATAGCCATGGGTGGTGTGGTTAGAATTACCTGCACCCTGCTGCCTACATACCACTTCCAGATTAAACAATATACTTTACAAGTTTGAGTCAGCACAAGGAATTTTCCCCAAGCTCAAATGCCAATTGGTCTTAAGGGTATAGGGCTCTAAAGTCAAGCAAACCTGGGTTCCTCCAAATCCTGACTCCTCCATTTGCTAAGGCCTGACCTTGGGCAAGTGACTTAACTTCTATAACTTCTACTTCCGTATCTGTGAAGTGAGAGTTATGATAGCCCCTATTAAATGGGGTGTGGTGATGATGATAAGCCCCTATGAAACAGATATGATGAAGAGTGAATGAGATAGAGCTCTGTAAGGGACTTAGGCAGTTTCTGGCACAAATGAAGCAATCATTAAATGATGGCTGTTATTATTCAATTGTCTTTGCCTCTTGCTCTACGTCGGCAATTTCCATGATGCTTTATCCCAGCCCGGGACATTTGCATTCCTTAGGTGACATTTAGGTAGCTTCTAGTAAGGTCCAAAAATATTTGTTGAAGCCAGCCATGTACCTGACACTGTGTTAAGCATAGTTATAGGAAGCAGAATGTGTGATGGCTCACACCTGTAATCCCAGCACTTTGGGAGGACAAGACGGGCGGATCAGGAGGCTGGGAGATCAAGACCATCCTGGGCAACATGATGAAACCCTGTCTCTACTAAAAATACAAAAATTAGCCGGGTGTGGTGGCACATGCCTGTAATCCCAGTTACATGGGAGGCTGAAGCAGGAGAATCACTTGAACCCAGGAGGTGGAGGTTGCAGTGAGCCGAGATCATGCCTCTGTACTCCAGCCTGGTGACAGAGCAAGACTCTGTTTCAAAAAAAAAAAAAAAATGCAGAATACAAACTGCATTTGCCCTCAAGAAGCTTATAGTGAAGTAGAGGACACAGACTGTAAACGAGTTATTATTGTATATTGGGAAAGGCACCGTAATAGAAATTTATACCAGATGAACAAAAAGCACAGAATGAGACAGGTATTGATGCCCTTTGGGGAGGAGGTAGTCAAAGAAGGCCTAAGGGTAAATGATTCCTGAGAGGCTTGGGATGTTAAAGGATGGATGGTGTTCACCAGGTGGTTCTGGGACAGGGTGTTGTTCAGGGCATGGGGAGGCCTTGAATGAGATGGGACTGCATGTGAAAAGGGAGGATGAAAGATAAAGCATCACATGGTCCAAGAGAAGTTAGACAAGTTGGTGTTAAATCATAAAGGATGGATTTTGGGAAATGGCAGAAAATGAGCAGGAAGCAGTAAGTAGGAGCCAGATAATAAGCAGTTGTATCAATAATCACTTATTCATCCCATGCCTAGGAATTGCTGACCACTCCCTTCTAGAAACACATTTCTCCTTTGCTTCCACGATACCATATTCTGCTGGTTTTCCTCTTACCCTATTCTGGACAAAACTCAGGATCTTTATCTCAATTGTCCTCTTTATCTAACCTACAAATGTCAGCATTTCTCAGGACTCAGTCCTGGAGCCCCTTTTCTTATTCCACATGCTCTCTTCAGTGATTTAATTTACTGCCAGGGCTTCCATTGCTGCTTCTACACAGATGACCTACAAGTCTGAGCTCTAGACCTGTGTATCCCTCTACCTATTCTACATTTTGACTTGGATGTCTTGCAGGTATCAGAATTACTGTGTCTAAAGCCAAATTCAATATTTCTACCCCATAAACTTGTAACCATCTTTCTTAACCTAAGCTGCACCATTCACCTAGCAGCTCAGGTTTGAAGTCAAGGAGCCATCTTTTCCTCCTTGCTCTCCATCACCTCTCCAATGTGAAAAATCACCAAGACTTGTGGCTCACGTCTGTAATCCCAGCACTTTGGGAGGCTGAGGCGGGTGGATCACGAGGTCAGGAGATCAAGACCATCCTGGCTAACACAGTGAAACCCCATCTCTACTAAAAATACAAAAAATTAGCTGGGTTTGGTGGCGGGTGCCTGTAGTCCCAGCCACTCGAGAGGCTGAGGCAGGAGAATGGCGTGAACCCGGGAGGCGGAGCTTGCAGTGAGCCTAGATTGCACCACTGCACTCCAGCCTGGGGCGACAGAGCGAGAATCCGTCTCAAAAAAAAAAAAAAAAAAAATCACCAAGACTTATCATTCTACCTCTTAAACATCTGTTAATTCAATCTGCTTTCTATCTCCTCTGCCACCCTTCTAGTCTAAGATCTCATTGCCTCCCCCAGACCATTTAGTATGGCCTCACAGCTGGTCTCTCTGCCTCAGGTTTTGGCCACTCTACTCCACTTCAAGCCAGTGTAGTCTTTTTAAAAAGTGCAGACTTGGCCATGTCACTCTTCTCTTTCAAATCCTTCAGTGGTTAGCAAAAAGTTCGTGGAATAAAAAAAAAATAAAATCATTCAGTGGATCCCCACTTTGCCCTTTGGAATGCCCCAGATTCTTTGCATGGCATATAAGCCACCCACCATCCTGTCCTTGTCTGCTTTTCCAGCTTCATCCCATATCCCTCAACCCTCACTCTCTGGGTGCCAGTCACACTGTTCTGTTCCTTTGCAGACGCAGGTTCTTCCCCATGTAGTTCTTTCCATGTGGAGAGAGCACTTTCTTCATCCCCTGTGGTCTGGTGAACTCTTACTCATCCTCCAAGTGTCACTGTTCTCTCATTTCCTCAGGGAAGACCTTTCTTGTCACCTAGATAAGGCCAGTTCCCTTTGCTGCATGCTCCCATGGCCACCTCACTTTCCTTTTCATAACTCTGTTGTCTGTCCCCATTTCAGGGCTGCAGTTCTACTCAGGAGCGCTCTCTGTCTTGCTCAGTGCAGTGTTCTCAGAACTAGGGCAGTGCATAGTTCCTTTGAGGTGTTTGATACATAGCGACCAATCTATCTTCGACTGAACTATATCCTATAGGCAATGAGAGACACTGATACATTTTACACAGCAAAACACTACAAGATTGGCATTTTAAGTAGATCACTGTGGCAGAGTGCAGGATGGTTAAGGGAGGGGCAAAACTAGAGGCAGCTAGTGAGATGTCGTTACAGTAATTCAGGCAGGAGACCATGAAGAACTGGGCCAAAACAGAGGTAATGGGGAGAGAAAGAGACAGACTGAGTGATAAATCAGAAAACCTGGCAGACTTGTGCTGTGGAAGAGGAGTCACTTGGGGCTTGGGAGTCACTGGGGTGACTCCCAAGTGTGGGAATGAGAAGAGGAAGAACACCTCTGGTGAGAAAAATGAGTTCCATCTTGGATTTATTGAGTTTGGGCTGTTTATGGGACATGCAGGCAAAGATGTTCATCAGATAGTTGTATGTGAATCATGAATCAGGAGCTCTAGAGAAAGATTAGTTCTGAGGTCACTGCCCCTACTGTTGCAGCAATCCAGGCCCTCCCATGATTCCTTTCTTCTCCAGCATTATTTCCCTGGGTCAGTTGTTCTCAGCCCTGGCTCCACTTTACAATCGTCCTGGGTTATTAAAAACTACCAATGCCTGAGACTTCCCCAAGACAAATCAACTCTGAATTCCTGGAGGTGATTTTAGTGTGTAGCCAGAATCATGGACTACTTCCTAGATGACTTCCTCCAGTTCCATGGTTTGAGACTCCTTCAGTGCTCTACAGAACTTTCTGCAGCAATGGAAACGTTGCATATCTATGCTGTCCAATATGGTAGCCACTAGCTACATGAGGCTCTTAAGCAGTTGAAATGTGGTGAAAACTGGTGGCCTGAATGTTTAATTTTGTTTAATTAATCTAAATTTAAATTAAATAGCCCCCTATGTGTGGTTGGTGGCTACTCTATTGGACAGGACAGCTCTATACGCTAATGAATCTGAAATTTGTTTCTCTCCTGAGCTCCAGGCTTACATATTGTCTGATTTGCATCTCTTCTTGGATATCTAATAGGGTGTCTTTAAGTTAATGCATGCCAGATGAAATTCTTGATTTTTTTTCTTCAAAACTTGTTTACCTCCTAGTCTTCCCCATCTTGGGACACAGCATCACTTTCCACCCAATTGCTAAAACCCCAAACATGGAAGCTATCTTTTATTCCTTTTTCCCCCTCTCATCTCCCTCTTCCAGTTTTTCAGCAAGTCCTGTTAGTTGTATCAAATTGACACCTTGACTCCATCCACCCCTTTCCATCTCTAGAAGAGCATAGGATAGTCACAGCTATTTTAGTAAGTTACTGCATCTTCAGTGTGTGCCTTCTGAGACCTTTCTATGTATTAACTTACTAGGCCTACAAACAGCTCTATGAGGTAGGTAAACTAATATCCCTATGTTTATAGGTGAGGAAATTGAAGAACAGAAAGCTTTTGCAAAGTGCCTGGGAATCAAACGGCTAGTCAGTGGTGGGGATGGGACTCAAAACCAGATAATCTGGTTCCAGGGTCCATGTTCTTCACCATTCAACACTGTGTCCCTCTGGCTGGTTCCAAGGCCCCACGTCAATGTTTTCTTACTCTGGTTACATGTTAGAATCACTTGAGAAACTTAAAAAAAATACCAATTCCTCAACCCCATTCCAGGTCAGTTAAATCTCCTGAAGTAGGGCCCAGGCATCAGAAAATGGTAGAATATTCCAAGGACTTTTCATACATAACTAGAGTTGAGAACCATTTCCTCTATGTGACCTAGCCCCTGTCTGCTCCCCCAACCCTAGCTTTTACCCCTAACCTTGCTCATGCTGTTTTCAGCCCTTCTTCCTGCCCCTAGAAGAGGCCAAGCTCTTTGCTGCCACTGAACTTTTGTGCTTGTTCCTTCTCTGCCTAGAACACCCCTTCCTGGCATATTCTGGGGATTGAGTATGACTTTAGAGATCCTAAACCCTGGAAAGATTAAGGGTCCTCTACACTGCCCATCTAAATAAAAATAAACACAATATTACATTTTTAAAATATGTATAAGGAGGGGCCTACAGCATTCTCATTTTCCTAAGGGGTCTACTTCCATGTCTTTTTTGATGTATAAAAATAAACATTTTCAAAGGAAATTTTGGTGCTTCTACCTTACCAGTACCTTAAATATACGCTTAGCTTGTTTTGGGGAATCCAGACCTAAATCTTTTGGACTCATCCCAAATGTCACCTTCTCAGGGGGACTTCTCTTATCTGTCCTTTCTAAAGTGGCATTCTTCCCTTCCTGAGACCCATCTATCACACCATTCTGGTTTTCTCGTATTTCATAGAAAGCATCAAAATTTGTAATTGTCAGGTATAGTTTTTAGTTTACTAGCTTATTGTTTGTCTTCTTTATGAAGGAGGGTCCTGTCTGTCTTATTTGTTGCTATAACCTCCTCACCTAGTGCAATGCCTGATACAAAGTAAGTGATAGTTCCTGAATGAATGAATGAATGAATGTAGGCTCATGGATGGCAAGCAGCACAGAGTAGATTATAATCCCAAGGCAGATAGACTCATTTGGGTTGTTACCTTGTAAGACACTTTCTTCATGGGGTGGGAAGGGAGAAGTGAATTCATAGAAAGAGAGGACTGTTGTTGAAAGAGGGAGGGCCATGGCCTCTGCAACCTGGTGAAGTCTCAGAGCTCAGGATATGGCAGAAAGAACATGCTGTGATGTTGCATGGATTCTGGGTGTGGTGAGAGCTGATACTTACTTTTGGATAGTCATTTCCCTGTGTCTTCTCCAAACTTTCAGTAAAGTTTCTTAAACTCAACAGCTAAGTGTTTTGTTATTTGGAAAATTGAGGAAAGACCATGTGTTCATGCTCTGCTTTGGGGGCCAAGATAAGCAAGAGAGATTGGTGACAGCATAGAGAAATGGTGATAAGAAAGCTAGAAGTGTTTGGGGGCAGCAACAACTAGAATGGATTTGTACATTAGCATCTAACTTTAGAATTCCCAGAATTATTGTTATTTGGATAGTAGAGGAAAGAGTGACTCTTGGATGGCTAAAGAAGTCGAGGTTATTCTGGTTGCAAAATTAATAAGTTATTTGGTAATTATGTGTTTAATGTCTGTGTCCCATGACACAGTAGACTTCCTCTGGATAATGATTGTGTGTGAGTTGTTTACTACTATGTTGCTGGGTTCCTGGCATTGGGTGGGCACTCAATAAATATTTGTTGAATGAATGATTGGTTCTGGGTGTTTTTCTGTTTCTAGGTTATAAGTCAGAAGGGTCTGCTGAAATGTGATGAGGAAAACTAGAAGAAAAGTCCAGGCCCTGAGAGTGAATACCAGACAGAAGCTGGGGGTGGAAGAGTATCAATATGCAATATGCAGACTGATTTGCCGAGGAGGATTCAGATAGGAGATTCAGACTCCCAGAACAACTAAAAGGATAACAGGCACTGTCAAAGATCTAGACAGAAGGGCCAGAAAAGCAGCAGTTGGAACACACAGAGGGACTGTTGGTGAGAGAAGCTGCCCCTCAATGCTCATGTCAGCTCCTGGGATACTCTTGATCCCCAGGCAATGGACTTAAAGAAACAAACATTCCTAGACCCCATTTGGTTGTGGGGCGGGGCTTCTCAGCGTATTGGCTTTGATGCTCATTGGCCAAGGGCTGCAGCGGGCCAGAAACTAACAGTGGAACACATTATCATTGGCAGCACAGGGATAGACAGCAAATGTTAGACCTTTTTAATACACATGTTGCCTAATTCTTTGGGAGTGACACAGAATTCTTAAAACATGTTTAGGGGTACTTGATTCCTAAGATCCTCTGTCCATCTGTGCCCTCCTCTCCCCTAAACCCACATTTACGTCTTTCATTCTCAAGGTTCTAAAAGCTGGATCTTAAAGGCTCGAGTGACTAAAATCTATGGCCTGATCCCAGAACTATTTCAGTTTCAAATACCAAAAGTACTGCTAGTTTGGTTCTCCCCATTTGTAAGTACCAGCTAGGTTAGATAGAGTAGGAAGTTGGCATGTAACTCAAGGCTGCATAGGGTTGAAATTCTGCTGATGAGTGGATCAGTTCATCATGAATTTTCTCAGGTTCCAATTTTTAGGGGAAAAATTATTTTTTTTCTGGGTGATTTTCTTGCTAAGTTGTCCCAAGAGGGAATTATGGGGTAATATTCATGGAATCATACTCTTCAAGCACTTTTTATGGTTTTCTTTTGCCTTAAGAGTTCCTACTAAGAAATCAGTATCTGCTTATTGAGCACCTATTATGTGCAAACACTGGGCTATGAACTCAAGAATTCTCCTTGACTTCAAGGATTTTATAATCCATGTTTGGGGACAAATCACAAAATAATTAACATTGAACAAGCGTAAGTATGCAACTTTGAGATATTTAGAAAAGAGACTGACAAAACAGAATGGAACTGTTTGCCGATGGAGTTGTATAGGTCAAGGTCCACTTGCCAGAGTTTGGGAAGAATTTACAGAGAATGCCAGAGAAGCCACTGCTGATTCAGGAATCTGATCTGAGTCTTGGATTTAGGATCTTGCCAAGTATACAGGAGGTGGAGAGGGCAGTGTAGACAGGCAGAGTTGGATGAATCAAGCCTAAGTGTGGTTGAGAGAGCAGATGACTAAATCAAAGCATGTCTGTGAAGGGGGTTGTGTGAGTTAGGGCCTAAAATGCAACTTTTTCAGCTGGACCCTGGGTACCTGGCTGAAGACTTTGGACTTTAACCTGGAGATGATGGAGAGTATGCAGGATAAAGTCCATACCAAATCCAACGCCTAGCAAATGGAGAACAAGCCAAAACTAACAAGATAAAATGTAGCAGGAAAAAGTGCAAAGGTATGTGTGCGCCTGTGTGTGTGTATGCTCACATGTATCTTAAGAATGACACCAAATTCAAGAGTGAACAACCTGTTTTAACAGTATTTGGCTCGAAAAAGACAGAGTTGTTAAAGTTTCTACAAGCTCAATATGGGTTTGTGGTGTGATTTGGCTGGGAAAAGCTTCCTGCACGTCAGGCCGCAGCAGTGGAGTAGAGTCTCCTGCACAAAAGCCATACTGGCAATACTATTTTCTTCCCCAAGTCCCTGAAAGGAACTGCTATTCCCATGTGCTGTTTCCATCCAAGTTTTTCCTGGACTTGAGGCAAACTTTACTTTCTCAGATCATTGTGCATCTTCATGCAGAGTTTACTGAGCCACCTGAGGTAACACTTCTAAAAACTTGGAGAAAAAGTATTACTGTCCAAACAGAGTGATCAAGTATTCCAGTTTGCCTGGGACTGATGGGTTTTCTGGGATGTGGTACTTTCAGTGCTAAAACGATGAGAGTCCTGAGCAAACCAGAATCACCGATCACCCTGCAACAGACCAGAATCTTCTCCTTGATTTTCTCCCACTTCCAGTGGTATGTCTTTAAGAGACTGAAGAGGTGGCATACATGTCTCATAAATATTTATCCTCTGGCTTTAATTTGCAGAGGTCTCATCTATGTTTTTAAGGTTTTTCAGGAGAGCATTCTTGTCGTGTTCTAGGTTTTGCAAATATAGAATATTCACCACAGCAGCTTTTCCTACCAGTTTCCTTGAGATTGCCTTTTCTATAAATTGTCCCATATGTCATTTCCTTTTGGCGACAAGTAGATTCCCTCAGTCTTGGTAAGCCAAGTGTAGTGGAAAGAACACAGACTTTGGAAACTTAAAAATCTTCTATTGAGGCTGGGCGCAGTAGCTCATGCCTGTAATCCCAGCATTTTGGGAGGCCGAGGTGGGCTGATCACCTGAAGTCAGGAGTTCGAGACCAGCTTGGCCAACATGGCGAAACCCATCTCTACTAAAAATACACAAATTAGCCAGGCGTAGCGTTGGGCGCTTGTAATCCCAGCTACTCAGGAGGCTGAGGCAGGAGAATTGCTTGAACCAAGGAGGCAGAGGTTGCAGTGAGCCGGGATGACACCATTGCACTCCAGCCTGGGTGACAGTGCGAAACTCCGTCTCAAAAAAAAAAAAAAAAATTCTGCTATTGAATTCTGGTTTCACTATATACTGGTTGTGGTGGACGATGCTATGTGTTTACCATGCCCTGCTTTGTTTTCCTCTTTTGGGCACATAGGAAAATTACCTAAGACCCCTGTGAGTAGTTCCAGTCAATGAGTTGTAAGCCAGATTGATTGTGTCATTTCAGAGCTGAAGTGTGGAATAAGTGGGAGAGGTCTGCCATGCCCTATCTGACCTTGCTGCCATGATCTTTAAGGCTGTGTGTCCTGGTTGGTGCAGCTACAAGATGGCAGAAATGCCTAAGTGATGGTATGGAACAGAGGATCCCTCTTCTCACCATTGTCTTGCATGTTTCCTTGTGTGAACCACAAATAAACTTTTGTTATGTTAAGCTGCTGAGATTTTGTGTTTGATTTATTACTGTAGCAAAGCATATCCTAAAGTATTAGCTCTGTGATCTTGTGCAAGCTACTTAATGGTGACGTTGTAAAAAGGGGAGTATAAGATCTTCCTGAAAGAGTCATCTTAAAGGACCACAGGGATTCCTAAACAAGGTATTGTGTATACATTTCTTACCATGGGGCCTGGTTCATAGGAGGAGTTGGAAAAATATTTTGCTTCCTTCTGTTCTTTCAGAAAAACACAGATATTTCTTTCTGGTGTAGTACTTAAAGGGGTAAATACAGTCTCTAATATCCAAGAAGCACACATGCCATCTCCTGATGATGGAGGGACAGGCTTCTCCCTGCACTGTTGGTTCAGTTCTCAGTCCTTCACCTGGAGTGGCCTTTGACAAAGGGGCCCTTACCCAGAGGATGCCACCATGATGTCACGGCATCTGAAACCCAGGGCACCTGTGCTCATTTCTAACCGTTATATTTTGGAAGATTACTAACAGATGGGGGACTTTCTAGAGGAAGATGACCAGGTTAGGAAAAAATCTGGCAGTCATGGAACTGGATAAACAACGTACTGCGAGTGAGGTTGCCAGATATAGCAAATAAAAAGACAGAAATCTCAGTAAAATTTCTGATAAACAATACGTATTTTAGTATAAGTATTCCCTATGCAATATTTGGAACCTACTTACACCAACAAAGTATTCCGAGATCCAGTTTTAACTGGGATTCTTTTATTTGGCAATCCTAGCTACAAGGAGTCATGGTCTTTTGTTGGAAACAGTACACAAATATGACATAGAGACATAACATCACAATCTTGGGCATATATATACATTTATACTTGAACAATATGAGCTGCTGGGTGTACAGAGTTCTGAGTGAGCAATGGGAAAAATCAAAGTCATTATCCTGGGAGATGTCCATGGGAGAAGCAAATTTGGACGAGAGTAGTAATTTTAGTTATCCTTACTTCTTTCTCCCAAAATGTAGATACACGAGAATTGACTCTAGTTCTTTCTTTTTGGTTTGTCCTCATACATACAAGCAGTTAGGAAGCAGGAAAATAAGGTGCTGGTAGTTACTCGTGTGTTCAGTCCTCCCTCCCTTCCTGTCTTCTTTCCTTCCTCCCACAACATTTATTGAGGAACTGTGCTAAGTGCTCTCTTGGCGTAACAAATCCTGCCTCAGGAAGCAATACTTCTTGAAAACGGAAAACCCTATCTTACAAAATCTGCAGTGATGCAGAAAACGTACACAGCATACTCTCAGGCAGTCAGTGGGTTTAGTGAAAGGGCATTCAGGTCAAGGAGGGAGCAGAGAGAGGAATGACTAATCAAAGATCACTTGTAATAACAAGATTTACTCTTCTCATCCTAAATCTTTTTACCTTACTGTCACTGATTATTCTAGTAAAATACGCTCATTGTGGAAGAAGAGAGCACACAGAGAAATAGAAAGGGAAGAGAAATGTTAACATTATATTTATTTTCTGAGTACTTCTTTCTTTAGAGTGAAGTAGATTTTGGGGTAAATTTTTTTCCTTTTTTCTGCCAGCTAGTAGTACCTCCTAAACATTTTCCAAAGTTATAAAAATCTTTTTATGATATTTAGATCAAAAGGGGGCAATTTTGAATTCTGTTTGAAAGGGAAAGAGTTAAATTGAGTAAAGAGTCATCACCTTTGTCTGATAGGTGAAGGCAGGGGCCCCGGGAGAAGAAGTGCCTTTTCTCTACTGCCATCAGTCTTCCTGGCGATTATCCTGAGTTCAGTTGCAAACCTGCTGTCCAGACTAGCTTTGACTCCTTTTTTTTCTTTCTTTCTTCTTTTTTTTTTTTTTGAGACGGAGTCTCGCTCTGTTGCCCAGGCTGGAGTGCAGTGGCGCAATCTTGGCTCACTGCAAGCTCCGCCTCGCGGATGCACGCCATTCTCCTGCCTCAGCCTCCCGAGTAGCTGGGACTATAGGTGCCCACCACCATGCCCGGCTAATTTTTTGTATTTTTAGTAGAGACGGGGTTTCATCGTGTTAGCCAGGATGGTCTCCATCTCCTGATCTTGTGATCTGTCCACCTCAGCCTCCCAAAGTGCTGGGATTACAGGCATGAGCCACGGCGCCCGGCCTTCTTTCTTTTTTTAAATCAGATGTTGGACTCTGGTTTTACTAACTCTTGAAGGCCATAAAACAATAAGTCCATTAGCTGATACTTGCCCCTCTGTCCTCTGTCCTCTGTGTTTGTAAACACTCCCTCCCCTCACACCCATTGTCTCTCCCTATCCAGCAAGGCTGGAAGCATCCTCCTACTAAGTCAGCTTAGCTCTGACTGGTCCCCCTGGGGGTCTTCTCTTTCTTTCTGGTCCAGGTCATGGCTACTGGGGAGTTTACAGCTCCTAAGGAATAAGGTGGAATGCGCAAAGCACAGATGCTCAGCTTGGGGCCTGGGGCTTCCCTGGAGGAGGAGAAGAGGAATGGCCCAAGCCTGCTCATTGCCCAGTGAGTGACTTATGAGCCATCTGGATGGGAGTGTTAGTTGCTTTGTGTTAGCAGCTGCAAAGACTGCTGATCATAGCCCCCAATACCTGTGTGTGAAGCACACATGGGGTCAGACACCCTTTGTAGAGCATGGCCCTAGCCAGGCACTTTGCTGACAATTATGCATGTTTCTTTTAATCTTCACAGTATCCATGAGGTAGATTTGTCATTATTCCCATTGCAGGAATGGGACTATCGGAGATTAAACGAGCTGTCCAAAGTCACACAGATAGTGAGTGCAGAACCAGGACTTGAGCCTTCATCTCTCAAGTCTAGGCTTTTAACAACTGTCCTGCACCACCCCACCCTGAGGGCACAGCATCTTATAGCTGGAGGGGGCTTCAGTGTTTCCCAACCCTGGCTGCACATTAGAATCATCTAGGGAGCTTGAAAAACATATGTCTCTGCCCGTCTGCCAGTGAATAATTCTCTGGGTGAGGCCTGGTCTTGGTATGTGATATATTATGTTCTCCAAGTAATTCTGAGGGGCAGCCTGAGTAAGAACCATTAGAATCTAATACCTTTAATTATAAATAATGAAACAGAGGTTCAGAGAGGATTTTGCCCAAGTTTACAATTCTATTGAGTAGCAGAGCAGAGCTACGGTCAAGTCCATACACATACCCCGGTGTAGCCACAGGCGCTGTGGGCAGGTGCTGATTAAAAGCCCTTAGGTGGTGTTGATTCCAGACAAGAAGCCAGACGCACCCATTCTCTCTTCCCCATCAAACCACAAGGTGCTTATTTCTCCATACTCAGCCATCAAATGCCAATTTAAACTAATGCCAATTTAAACTACGTGTTAGGACACTTAGTTTGTCTGTCTAGTAGCCCTTTCAGGGATCATATTTAGAATTTGAAAGTCCTGTGGGGCAGCCCTGTGAGAGCTTCAAGAGCAGATTTCAGGACACAAAAGCCCCAGCTCGCTCTCAGCCATTGCTTTCCCTTCTTCTTCCCCAGAAGCTCCCGACCTGTCAGACCCACCATGCCACGTGGCTATGTGCCCCTTCAGACAGCTGTATGTCTCTCTCCTCTCATGGAGGCTGGACCATGGCCACATGGCCAACTACACATGGCAAATGTTATCCAAAGGTCATAAAGGTCGGACTTAGATCCCAATAACCTAATCCCCAGAGGTCAATGACCAAATAGAATCACAGAATAGAGACAGAGGTGACTGGGGTTAGAGGAGGGGGTGTGGCGATGGGCCAGCCTGTCTGCCAGAGGAATGTCAGGAAATATGGGAGGGGATGGAGGTGGTAAGAATGAAAAGATTCTTCTGTCTTCTCTGGGAGCCAGCCAGCCATGGGCCAGCATATGGCTCCACCAGGCTGTAGGCTGTACTGGGCTGTACCCCTCAGGAGGGCTGGGCCATTTGGAGGGCACACTGGGAGACAGAGCAGAAGGAGCTGTAGCCTGTGAGGTGGCCCAGGCTCTTGACCTCAGGGCAGGGGATCTCCTTCCTTTGGCAAAGGGGAAGTTGTGTCATCCTCTCGTCACGTCCTCTGCTTCACCTTGTCAGCTCACCAGAATGTTGCGGTCACCTTCTGTCCACGCCTCCTGGCGTGCTCCTGTCCTTAGTCAGAGCCACCCCTGTTGGTATGAAGGAGGAAACCCTGCTGGTATGTGCTGGAGCCTCTGAGATGGAAGAACTGGAGGCCAGCACCTTCTCCATCTGTGCCCATAGAAGAGAGGTTGTCAATAAGGAAAACAAATAAGGAGGTAGCACCTGGTGGGGTTTGTTCTAGATGTCTCTACAGCATCAGTGTCACTCCTGGAGCCCCTAGACAGTATCAGTGCTCCTAGGTTTGGAACAAGGGCACAAAGAGGAGGTTTTTTGTTGTTGTTGTTGTTTTAAGACAGGGTCTCACTCTGTTGCCCAGGCAGGAGTGCAGTGGCCCAATCTCGGCTCACTGCAACCTCCATCTCCTGGGTTCAAGCGATTCTCCTGCCTCAGCCTCCCGAGTAGCTGGGATTATAGGCACCCACAACCATGCCCAGCTAATTTTTGTATTTTTAGTAGAGACGGGGTTACACCACGTTGGCCAGGCTGGTTTCGAACTCCTGACCTCAAGTTATCCAACCACCTTGGCCTCCCAAAGTACTGGGATTACAGGCGTGAGCTACGGCGCCTGGCCAACAAAGAGGAGTTTTTAGACATTGGGAGACATGAGGTCCAGAGTCTGGTGAACTCTGGCCAAGGATTAGCCAGGGTGCACTCTGGGAGTTCAGGTGATATGGCCCATCTTTGGCCCTGTGTAATGGTTAAGAATATGCGTGCTGGAGCAAAATGGCATGGGCTCAAATCCCCAGTTACTAGCCAAGGCCAAGTTATCGAAAATGTGCCTCATTTTCCTTGTCTGCAAGATAAAGATAATTGTCTATCCCCACAGAGTTGTGGTGGGTATTAAGTGAGTGGATACATGCAAAGGGCTCAGAACAGTGCCTGGGCACAGCAAGCACTCAGCAGATATCAGCTGTAGTGATTTTAGGCCGATTGCCTGATTGCTCCCAGTCCTCGGGCTCAAGCTGCATGCACAGTTGTCCACTGGGTAAACATTCAGGTTGGATAGGTGAGGGTGGGGAGAGGAGAAGGGCTATGGAAGAGTCACTCATGACAGGCGACTTCTGTCCTGCTTAGCCTCCCCTCTCCTGAGGCTGGGCTCCTATCTGTGCCTCCGTAACACACCAGGCCCACTTTCTCTCCCTGGTTCCTGGGGAGGCACAGAGAAGAGTGTGACCAGTTGTCTGGACAGCTGAGCAGTTGTGTTGTAGTGCAGGGCAACGCAAGCTTTAGTCACATGGCAAATCCCCAGGGCCGTTCCTGGAGTCCACCCTGTCCCACAGACGAGGACTCAGCCATGATTCACTGTATTCAGGTGTGGCCTGAGCTTGAGTCACCTGGTGCCCCTTCCTCCAACACCTGAGAGTCACAGCCTGGACCAGGTTCTCCTATGCCCCCTGAACCTCTTCTCTCTCCTTTTCTTCCTCCTTTTCTCCTTCCTTTGTTCCCTATCCCTTGATCTCTGATTGATCAGATCTTGGCTGATCTCCCTAGCGACTTGGACGGTTTGAGCCTGACAGATGGATAATAGACACAGTAGCTTATAATGCCACCCCCACACCCTGTCAGAGACATTGCCAGGAATGACTGAGAAGCAGGCAAAGAAGGAGACTGCCTCTGTCAATATGGTGACATTTCTGTAATTGGAGATAGGTGCCTCAAAAAAGACCTCCGCACTCTGGCTGATACAGGAATTTCCACTATTAGTAATCCATCCCAGTGCCCAAAGCCTGGATTGTCCCCTCTGAGAATGCAACTACACATCAACGGCACAGGGGATGCATTGAACTGTATCAATTGTTTGTACTTTAGTGTGGATCCATTCATTCCACAAGTATTGAGCACCTACTATGTGCCAGGCACTTGGAAAACAGTAGTGAATAAGATAGAAATCTCTGCCTTCTTGGATATTACATTCTAGTTGGGAAGAGACAGAAAATAAACATAAGCAGATAAATTATATAGTTGGTTAGAAGCTGGTACATGATGCCCCCCTACCAAATAAGTAAATAAATAACTCACCAAAATATAGGGTAGGTGGGGTTAGGAGTGTTAGGATGGGGGACAGGGATGGGGCAGGGAAGTTGGCTGTAATTTTAATAGTGTGTTTAGGATAGGCCTCATTGAGAAGTTAGGATCTGAACAAAGACTTTGAAAGAGGTCAGAGAGTTAGCTTTGTAGATATCCAGGGGCAAGACCGTTCCAGGCAGCAGAAGCAGCTGGAGCCAAAGCCCTAAGCCTGAGCTAAGACAGGGATAGAGGCCATTGTAGTAGAGGTGAAGAGTAATGGGAGGAAGGTGGTGTAGGGTCCCCTAGACTCTGAAAAAGCTCTGGCCTTGGCCCTGAGTGGGATAGGGGCATGTGAAGATTCTGAGCTCGGGGTGCATAACCTGCTGTGTTGGGACTTGACTGTATATCAGTGAGGAGGCTGTTGCAGACGTCCCAGGAAAAGAGGCTCAGGCCAGGAGGGAAGAAGTAGATTCTGATTATTATTGGAAGGCAGAGCTGACCGAATTTGCTGATGGAGTGATGAGGTTTGAAAGATACTGAAGTCTGGGATGACTTCACTAGCCACTTTCCTGAGCACACATTCTAATAAGTCAAGGCTCTAGGGCAGATAAGTGCTCTGTTGTAGGAGGATGGGCGCAGGGAGAGAGGAAAGGTGTGCACACAGGGGAGGCTGAGGGGCTCCAGCCACAGTACCACACCCCTTTAATCTTAGCTGGACCCTGATCTGGCCTCAGGCTCTATTTTAGGCTACTTGACTGAACAAATTGGGTTCTGAAGCTCCAGAGCTTGTGCCTGGAGCCCTGGAGTTCTTGGGGGACTGGATCCCCACTTGGAAATGATCAGTGTCCCTCAGGAGTGAGGCTGGCTGGGCTGCTCTTGGGGGTCTGCATAAACAGCTTCCTGGACTTTGCCGGGAGTGTAGGGGAGAGCCAAGCACAGCAATTGGCATGTCCCTCCTGCGAAGCCAAACCACTCCAGGACCTGCCCAAGCCTGTGAAGTCTGAGACACCGAATGTGTATTTACCTGGGCTCATGGCCTCAGATAAAGGGAGGAGGAGGAGGATTTAAGGGGCCCCAGCTACTCATGGTGAGGCCCACCGCACACCTGCCCTGCCTTTTCTCCTCTGAGGATCTGGGATTGCAACACCTGCTCTCTTCTGCTGAGTTAATTATTAATGAGTTCTTTGTCACATCCTCTGGTGATGGGCAGAGGGCGAAAGTTTCATGAGCGCTCTGAGTTCAGGGAGTTGGGGAAGTGGAGAGAAAGAGACCACCAGGTGGGAGAACTGAAAACACAGGTGTGTCAGAGTCAGAGCTGACCTTTCTCGGTGGGGGACTTGAGGGAGGTCTCTCTGTGTTGAAGGGACACTGCTTCTACTGACCTTACTTGCTGAGTTGAGCTAGATTTCACTGGAATGCTTACAGGGGGCAAGACTCTAACATTTATTGGACTATCAATTATGCATCAACTTACATCAACAACTCACTGCCCACTTGCTAATTACACTATTTCTTCTGCCTACCTGAACTTATGCTTAATTCGAATCTGAGGGTTAGAAATGCCCAATTTAATCCACAAAATTCTACATTTCCCCCTTAAGGGTCTTCAAGCCAATTTCTTGGACATAACCCTCCAATGGTGGAGAACTTTCTGTTTAGGAGACACTAACAAAGTGGAATCGTAGTTAAGAAGCTCCTTTAAATAGTAGCTTTGAGGTCCTAGCATTCCAAAACGGTGCCAGTGCAGGCTCTCCAGGGCCAAGATATGGACTGGCTGACCCTCCAGGTTTCCCTAAAAGCTCTCTGACCCTAACCTGGGGGAAAGAGTGTCCTGTGAGACCAGCCTCTCAATTTGGACCTGCCACTTCCATTTACAGTGGCTGGAAGCCCAGGATCCCTGAGCAAGGAGCCCACAAAAGAAGCTGTGTTCTCAGGCCTGGCAGGAGGCCAGGGAAAGTCTGTTTTGACTTTGTCAGTCAAGCTATGCTTCAGCCTTTCCTTCCACCACTTGTGGTCAGGTCTGTTTTCTGGCCCTCCAGGCGGGCATTCCTGCCTAGGGAGGGAGGGGCTAGGAGACTAACCCTCCCCACAGGTGGGAGGAGTGACTCACAGGCAGCTACCTGTCCCAGGGCTCCCTGCCAACCCTGTGGAGGGAGCTGGAGGCGAGCCATTTAGTTACTCTGCTCATTTCTCTTAAGCTTTCCTTGGATGAGTTGAGCTTTGAATCCTTCCTGATGAACCTTGCCTTTTAAGGATCCTCCAAATGCCCCAAGAAGCTGGGATTTTTCATTTTTTTTTTCACTGGGGAGGGGAATGGTGCTTTCCAGGGTCCTGGATGTTTGAGTCTTCTCACCTTCCAGCCCGGTGATATGTCTGGAGCTTTAACTCTCTATATAAGCCCTAATCTTTGTGTTCTCTGCCTGATCTTCTGTCTGGGGTGGTCCAGGTCACAAGAAGAAGCTGACCCCTGCTGGCTTTGGGAAAATGCTGAGTTCATTGCCTGGCACAAATGCAAGGGCCCTTCCCCACCCTGTGAATTCTGGTCTCTGATGATCACTTACATGTGCCTTGTGCTTTCTGTTTGAGGGGCCCCTTGCAGCCCCCACAGGCAGGTGGGCATTGTGGAGCTCACTACAAGAACTCTGGGACGGACCGACCAACCCACTTGCCCAGTCCCGTCCTGGGAGGTGGGGGTGCAGTGACGACAGATGGGTGTGACGGCTGCCAGATTCCTGAGACCCGCCCTGCGGTGGGGCTACACCCAGCCAGGGAGTCTCCAGAGGTGAGGCTGTTGTTTAAAAACCTGGAGCCGGGAGGGGAGACCCCCACATTCAAGAGGAGCTTTCAGGCGATCTGGAGAAAGAACGGCAGAACACACAGCAAGGTATGTTACCTGTCTTTACCTGCCTGGTGCGGGCCGGATGCGGGAGGAGGACTGTATCTCTGGATGCCTGGGGCCTGGTTTCAGGGCCTGATTTATTCCTCTTCCTGGGAGCTCACTCAGGTGAGCTAGGTTAAAATGTCTGCTACAGTTTTGATTTCTTTTTCACATTTGATAAGCACCTCAGTGGCTTAGAAGAAAGCAGGTTCAGATCCGGGGTTGAGCACAAAAGAGAAGTGAGAAGGGTGGGCTGGCCTGGCTCAGAATGCCTACTTGCAGGGGGATTTTCAGTCAGGGGTGGGAAAGCTGAGAAAGCACTGGATGAAAGTCAGAAGATGGGTCTCTCTTAGGCCATCGTTAGCTGTGGGACCCCAGGCCACATGTTCCCTCCCTGGGCCCATGACTCTTTTAGGAGAGGGATTGGAAGGAATGATTTTGAAGCATTAGGATCTATAATTTAAAGATGCCAGAAATGTCCTCAATTTCCCCCCCCGCCCCTGCCTTGCCAAGCCCCCAGCCCTCCACCCCAGCCAAAAGAGTTTGTGGCTGTCATTGGAACAGAGTGAACATCCAATTCAAGGCAGAAGGGTCACTGCATGAGCAAGGGTGGGGCATGTTTCCACAAGGCAGGCCTGCCTCTGGGACCCCACGGTGGCTTTCGAGCATCCTTCCCCAGCCTCCTTCAGAATCCCTGCTTTGTGGCCTCCCAGCCCCACCCCTCTTGTCGAGCCCCAGCCCATCATTGAAGACATTTTGGGTTGCTTCCCTTTCAGAAGAAACCCTCACTCACTTGTTAAAGACAGCCATACATCTCTCCCTGTTGCATCCCAGAATTGTGGGCACAGAGCCTCAAACTCAAAGTGGCCCTGAATGGTATTGGAGGCCATGCCCGTGACAGGAGAAGGTTTGCCTCCAGGCCGTCAGCCACTCTGACTCATTCACTTTGGGCGGGGCTGGGTTGAGGCTGCTGGTCTAGGCCCTGAGAAAAGCCAGCCCTCTCTCTTGGGGCTGGAACTAGGTCTTGGCCCTTTCTACAGCTTTTCTCCTGCAAAGGGTCCAGCCTTTTCCTGCTCCCCACGTTGTCCTTACGGCTGTGTGGGGTAGGGCAGGGTCCACACTCCTTCCCATCCATTTTAGAGGAGGAAGCTGGAGTCTGGGAAGGGATGGGATTTTCCCAGGGCACCCTGTGAGTCACATGCCACTTGAGACAAGGGTCTAGAGCTCCAGCATTTTCCAAGCTACAAATGTATCTGCTGCTCCAAGTGTCCTAGATCAGGACCCTAGGTAAAGACTTCTGAAAAATACTTGAGTCTAGAAACAGAAAAGAAAAAGGGCTAGTGTGCTCTAGGGGTTTGCACTGTTGTACCCAGTTTGCTTTGCTGTGTCCTAGGAAAGGTCCTTTCTGGGGATCACCCCATTGGCTGAAGATGAGACCATTCTTCCTCTTGTGTTTTGGTAAGTACCCCTTCCCATCCTTCCAGGCCCTGTTATATGGCAGGGAGGCAACAGCCACAGGGAGAAGGAGAGTTTACCAAAGTGTGGGCATCACCTGTCACCTGTAGTCCCTTCAGTTGGGAATACTTGTCTACTGGGGACACCTGTGAGATTTCCCCATTCCTTTGGGCCTTTGGGGAAGAAGTTTCTCTGCCACTCTGGAAAGGCTCCCAAATGTCTTCTTATTCTCAGCCGAGGGTGGTTTGTGGTTTCCTGAGTGCTCTCCACAGTTTCCCATCCTTTCTCAAGCTGGTTCCAGAGCCACTGTGGCTTAAGTTCCTGTTTTCCAGTGAATTGTAGCTGGGCACTCACAAAGTATGGCTGGGGCAGCTTTGAAGATAAAGGAGCAGAATAAATGCAGGCCTTTCTTAATGTTCTGCCAATGGCTCAGCAGTCAGCCCTCCTCTGGGCTGCTGACAGAGGCCACAATGCAGGTGGAAAGAGCTGCGGACCTTGTCATGATGGCCGAGTCTATGTCTCCAGTCTGGTTCTAAAAGCCATATTTTAGGGTCATCTATGGTTTTTGGTTGCCAGTGTTTCTCCTCTTCTCCTTTTCAAGTTTTGAGTTCTGGAATATGAAATCAACTTTCAAAATATAACAGTATCAATACTGCAATTATTACTGCCAGCAGCGAGTGGAAGCTTGAGTGAGGGAAAGGATATAATCTTGCTAATGTCAGCTTCCCTGAAAGATACTGGGGTGGCCAGTGAGGTCCCTTTTTTTCTGGACTGCTCCATCACACATCCCTGTGATTTCAGCCCTGCCTGGCCTCCTGCATGCCCAACAAGCCTGCTCCCGTGGGGCCTGCTATCCACCTGTTGGGGACCTGCTTGTTGGGAGGACCCGGTTTCTCCGAGCTTCATCTACCTGTGGACTGACCAAGCCTGAGACCTACTGCACCCAGTATGGCGAGGTAGGCCCTACTTCCCAGGACTGGAGGAAGGCGGGATGGGAGGGGTGTGTGAGCTGCCATTTGTCCACTGAATACTTAGAATGTACTTGGTGTAGGCCAAGCCCTGTGTACTACACGGACTGGGGAGTGCAGTAAAAGTATAAGGCCAGATCCTTGCCTCTAAGGAATTTACCTGTTGGTTGGGCAAGAGGAAATGTACTCAGAATTAACTAAATAGCTCATTTCTCTCTTATCTCTCTGAGATGACACGGAGTCTTTTCTCAGTCCTTGGGCATGGGCAGGATAGTCTTTCAAGTCTTGGGAATAGGCAAATAGGCCAAACACTGGCCGTTTATGTGTATGGAGCCTCATGTGTTATTTGGTGCTGGGATGTGTGGGCCGAACTGTGTTCTTGCCATGGCAGGAACTGAGCTGTGCCATGGTCAGTGAGATAGATGAGGAAGTGACTTGAGCTTATCCAGCAGGGTCAGAGGCTCAGATGTAAGTTGGATCAAATCCAGAAACACGATGCTTTGAGCTATGACTAACATTGCCTGTTAGTCATGGCTTTTACAAACTTTTCTTCTAATTTGTCTCTGGGTCTTTTTTTATAGGAACTTTGGTTTTCTTTTTGTTTGCCCTCAACAGGGGGGAATCTTTCTTTACCAAAGTTGAAATCACTCAGTGTTTTCTTGTCTACCAGCTGCCTCATTTAGCCATTTTGCTTGAACAAGGGAATGGATAAGGGAGTGATTTGTCCCGAGTTGCTGTAGCCTTTTGGGGAAAGAGACCGGGGTTATCTGTCCCCTTTCCAGGCTGCCCTTGTCTTCTGGGCTGTGGAAGGTGGTATCTGATATGGCCTCTGGGCCTCACTGCCCTTCTAGTCCCTGTGTTCTCTTGGCTATTTTAGCACAGATGGTATAGGGAAATGACTGGAGTTGCTGAGCAGAGATGGCTGTGGTTTTTGCATCTCACCCACTTGGATGTGGGGAAGCTCATTTGACAGGGTTGGGTAAGATGGCCAGCCCTAGCCAGGACTCCCTGTGGGTCTAGATTACTCCATGAGCATCAGGGGACCTGGCAGTATTGAGTATTGAATTTTTAAAAAAATAAAAATTAAAAAAATTTTTTTTTTTAGGCAACAGAGTGATTTTGGCTGTTCCCTCCACCCATAACCTCCAAATTATGAGCCCATATCTAAAAATTTCAGGGAGACCTCTGCCGATTTCCTTTCTCAGGCTGACTTGCATTTTGGGAGGGGAGGCAAGGAGAGGTCAGAGACCCCTATGTTGGGATGTACCCTTGATCCCAGTCCTGTCTGAAAAGTTTCTCCTCCTCCAGGCCTGGGGCTTTTGGCTTAACACTGGCCTGCCCTCTGCCTCTCTGATGCCCCAGGAAGCCAGCTGTCTTCTCTGCTCCTAAGTAGCCCCTTGAGAGCAAAACAGGGTGCTTATAAAACAGAGTCTAGACTTTTGCAACCCTGGGGATGGATAAATCTCAGCTATTTTTCTGCTGTGAAAGCTGAGAAGCACTGGCTGTTTCTTCTTTTTTTTCTAAGGGGGAATAAATTTATCTAGCCTTTTGGAAAGAATAGAGGATAGCAGGGAGTATCTTTCATGTAGTGTGTAGTTTCAGGTCTGCCACTGACTTGAGGTGTGACCTTGGGCAAGAGATTACCCCTGTGTAAGCCTCGCTGTCCTTTTCTGTAAGTGAGTATTAGATGAGATGGTCTTTAGGGTCCCTCCTTTTCCCTAACATTCTTTGGCAATGAGCCGACTGCTGACAATCAGCATCTCTCCCCCATCTTCCACCTCTCTGTCTTGTTTCATTTCTCTTTCCCTCACTACTACATGCCTACCCTTTGCAGAGGCCATGGGTTCCAGCAATGAAGATAGATACTAAAGGCATAGAGACTCCCTTTTTGTCCTCTGGACAGATGTACCCTGAACCCCCTCTGGGTGCTCTGGTGGCTGCATGATAAGAATTAGAAATTCAGGTTTTAATTCTGCTGAGTTCTAATTTCAGTTTTTGTTTATTTTGTTATTAAATGATACTAATGGCAATTATAATTCATTAAGCATATCATATGTGTCTTTGGCATCATATTAAGAGTTTTATATAAATTATCTCAAATAATTCTTATAACACCCATGAAGTGGCTCATGTTTTCCCTGTGAGCTATTGGGAGGGTTTGGTTGTGTGCTGGGATCTTAGACTTCCGAGAGAAACATATCGTGTATTGAGTTTTCTGAGTAGTTAGAGATAGGGGGTGTACTGGACAGCCACAGCCAGAAATGAGGCTGGCCGAATGCAATGCTGTATTCCTACTGCCTCTCCCTTCACCCTTCCCTATCACCCCTCTCTAGTAGTTCCCACTCCCACAGACACACTTCCCTGAAGCCAAGGCCTCTGGCTAGTGCCTCTGTTCTATCTCCATGCAGGGATGACATAGCGAGCCCTGAGCCCAGGACCAGATCATTCTTCTGTGCCACATCCTACTGATGTGCCATGAATGCAAGGACAATGGGGTGGAGATTTATGACCCCTGGACATTTCTGCCTTGCTCACTCCACTCCCCAACCCAGTTCCAGCCGACTAACAGAGGGCGACTCAGCAGAATGGAGTTACAGGAGCAGTAGAGACTCCTTTTAGTTCCAAAATTGTCTCTCCTAGTTCCCTTCCTCCAAGTGTGGCTTCCTTTTTGTGGACCAGTCTTAGCCTGTTTGCATGTTACCTCCTCCACCCAATTCTGTCTCAGTTGCTGAATCCCACTGGTCTCAAGGGCTTGCTTCTGTAAATTCCGGGTCCATGTTGCAACCCTTGCAATGGACATAGGTCTTGGCCAGCTTTGCCTTATGGCATCTTCTCTGCCTCCCCAACTTTGCCCTTCTGGGCTCATCTGCTTTGATGACCCATTAACTGTCTGTGGTTGGGACAAGGCTGTTCTTTGCCAAAATGGCCTGAAGCTGTAGTCCCATCACCCTGGCCTCTTGCTTTCTTTCTTCCAGCTCCTAGATGGATTCTAGGAAAACTCACTGCACTATTATTCCCTCAATCTCAAGGCATGGATGAAAATGTCTGTGATTCTGTGATGCTTCCCTGCCCTCATTTACTTCTGTGCTATCCGTTGGCCTCATTTGAAAAATGGGCTTCAGTGGTTGTCATGAGCACTCTATAAAAGAATGTGTAAAGTGACCACCAGCATAGTGCCTGGCAGATGCAAACTGTTCTATCCAACCCTTCTCTCCTGCCTGCCTCCTGGTGGCTGCATCCACATGCAGAGGCTGCCCCATCTGCAAATCACACTCCTGAGCATTTCTTCCCTGATCAGGACATGCGTTCGCGTACCTCACTAAAATCCACCCATCCCTGGGCTGCCCTCCTCTGTGCCTCCCAAGGTGATCGGTGCCAATCTGACTTAGAGTGAGCTGTTGAAGAATCCACAGGCGGTCATGGTTAGTGAAGTCACCCCAGACTGGGGGTGAGGACTCCCTCATTCTGGTTCTGGTTTTGACACTAATAACAGGGATGTGGCCTTGTGAAAGTCAGGGCTCTTCACCAAACCACCATTTTTCCATGTGTGAAGTGAAGGAGCTGGGTTAGTCAACCTTTGCCGTTTATTCAGCGCTGGCCACTCAGCTTGCTTCTCAGAGACAGATGGGCTGTGTGTGACCCTGAGAGTCCACTGTCCTCTCTCAGGGCGTGTGAAGGCAGGGGCTGCACCATGCCCTTCGGTCATCTCTGGGATGACACGCATTCCTCAAGAACCAGCGGATTTGCCGGAAAGCTTTCCATCCCTGATTTCTGCTCCCGACAATGTCTCCTCCAGTGTTGTGTCTGCTCCCCTAAATGCTTTATTTATCCCCCATTCCCTCCCTTTCTGGGGAAAAACTTAATTGCCCAGCTGCCTTAATAACAGTCTTACACAGCGCATTCCTCAGGTTAATTATCTAAGCCAAACAGCTGTCATTTTTATCTCTTGGAAACAAGCTGAGGAACAGTAGCCAGTTGGAAGTCCCTCCTCTCTAATACGCGCAGGCGCACATGCATGTAAATGCACCCTTATCCCCCTGCCCGCTGACACACACACTCCAACGACCACTGCCTTTCTTTGTTTGACAGTTGTCTGTTTTCTTGATTTTCAGGAAGGCTAATGTGTAGGCAGAGGATGTGTTCATATATGTACTATGATCCCTGTACTCAACCCACAAGGGATTTTGAGCCCGCCTCTGACCAAAATATCTGCTTTTTTTTTTTTTTTTCCCCTGGGACACAGAGTCTTGCTCTGCCACCCAGGCTGGAGTACAGTGGCATGATCTCGGCTCACAGCAACCTCTGCTTCCCAGGTTCAAGTAATTCTCCTGCCTCAGCTTCCTGAGTAGCTGGGATTACAGGCATATGCCACCATGCCCAGTTGATTTTTGTATTTTTAGTAGAGACAGGGTTTCACCATGTTGGCCAGGCTGGTCTCGAACTCCTGACCTCAAGCGATCTGCCCGCCTTGGCCTCCCAAAGTGCTGGATTACAGGTGTGAGCCACTCCCCCCGGCCCAAAATATCTGCTTTTTTGTTTCCCAGAAGCCCTAAGCAGGTCTAAAGCTTCCAGAGCTCTACCTTGGGAGTTTACTGTTTTGGATGAAGCATTACTGAGTTCCTTGTTTAAAACACAGATAGCCTTGAGAAAAGCACCATATCAATCTATGACCTGCCATTCATCCCTCAGCAAGACTATGTTTATCAGAAACTTAGATGTGACTTTTGCAAAGGGACCCACGAGACCCAAAATGAGTCTTGTTTTGAGGGGATAGAAGAAAATGGAAAGGGACATTGTAGGGAAAAATTGCTATCAGAGAGAAGCAAAACTTGGGTTGGTGGAATGTGAGATTCTTGGGTCCTAATTGTTATGGGCTAAGGGGTAGGCCTTGTGAGGTTAAAAGCAGAGAGGAGAAATGTGAAATGGGAAGGCCCGAAGACAAACCTGGATGGCCTCACAACTTTGCTAGCCTGGCTTCTCACTCCATTGCTTCTGGGGTCCAGGCCCACAGAAGCCTCTGGGAACTGTCTTGCAGACCTACCTTGCTTCTTTTCCTGGCCATCTACCCCCTGCCTGGGTGCCATATGAGGGTCTGTAGCCATTGCCACTGGCAGGACCTGTAGAGGTCCCCGGCACACTAGCCAACTTTCTGCACTCAGGTCCAGGGGACATCCCTCTTTCTGGAGATGTCTGTGCTGAAGTTGAGGTTGCCTTTCCAGTGGGGTGGAATGAAGCAGAAGAAGGGAGTTTCCTGAAAACCAACTCTGAAATTTTCAGTGATTGCCAAGTGACTGCTATGCTCCTTGAATCAGAACAGCACCAGTATGCTGGGGAGGAAAGAAAAAAAAAAAAGAACAGCACAGGTAGTTTTGGAGTCAGACAGGTGGGACAAGAATCTGTGCTTCATCCCTTGCTAACTTTATGGGCTTGGACACATTTCTTAACTTATCACTTTCCTAATCTGCAAAATGGGGATACCTACCATTTGTAAATGTAGTATAGCTACCTCAGAGATTTTTGAAGGATGGAATAAGATAATATATGTACACTGCTGAGGACTGAGGCTGGTGCAGTGTAATTTTTGAGTGTGTAGCATATATCATCTCTATAATCAGCTTCAGAGAGTGATTTCTGAATTTAGTTAGGATGGAAATAACAGCTGTACTGAGTTAAGGCTTTGGTCAAAATTTCACTTCGTGATAAGGAAAAACACAAAGTTGAAAGTATCTCACATACGGCTGTCCTCCCACCCAGCGCCTGCACTAGGTGCTGCCTTTTGATCTTCATTGCCAATATGCATTGACATAGAAATGCTGAGGCTTTTGAACTGCGGTGGGTTCTAATGGAGGCCTGACTGACCATAGGCCTCAAGGATCTCCTTCTCCCTGTCCATATTGCTGGAAAAAGTGTTTCTCCAGGATAGCATCTGGGGAATGTCTTGTTTTTCTCTTGCTTTCTTTGTCTACTTGCTGAGAGTACCTTTAACTTCTGGGCTGATGTGCTAGAGCAGGGAAGAACTCTAAGAGCATGTTAGAACAAGATGGAACTTTATTATCTCATTCAACCCTTGTATTTCACCAATAGGAATGTGGAAGTGGAGGAAATGTATTTTCTTGAAGGCAGCTAGATTTTTTTTTTTTTTTTGCTTTTGGCCCTGGCTGGTGGCCATGACCCGATCGTAGCTTCTTAGATGAACTCAGACAGCCCTCTGGCTTCCTCATGGGAGGGAGCTGGGCCATGCATAATCAGAGCCTGTTTTCCTATTCTCCCCCAGAATTAGCTCTGTGTTTTACAAAGGCTCAGAGTTTTTAGTTGTGTGTGCCCTCCTTTTCCACCCATCTCCACCATGATTCAGGCCCCTGCTGGCTCTTGCCCTCTTGCTCCTTTGCCCTCCCCTGGCTCTCTGGGAGGGTTCATCTTCCAGCCAGACTGCTGAGCTTCTAGAAAGCTCTAGGATAAGGGAGAAGGCCTAGCCTTTCCAGCTGGAGAGCAAGTAGGAGCCAAACTGGCTGGAGGCCTGACAGGCTGAATTGATAATAGTACTGTGTCTCTGAGGTAATGCAGCCAGGAGAATGCCAGCCAAATGACCCCAGAGAGGGAGGCAGCTGCAGCAGAGAGCTGCCATCACTGGGAGAGATGGGGGCATATCACATATGAGAGATTCTCACACTGAGAATCACACATGCACACGACGCTTACAAATGTGTGCACCCTACATATAAGCATACAAGAATAAAGCAGAAAGGGAAACTGAGACCCAGAGGGGAAGGATAAATTAGCAGCTTGTCTTCATGTGGGCTTCTGCCATAAACTACTCTATTTCAGGCTTCTGTCCTGCTAGCTCGTTGACAGGCAGAGCTACTTAAAATACCTGTCTTGCCTGTTGGCTTAGCCTGTCTCTGAGGATTGAGGTAAATTCCTCCTTCGGCTATGTTACTGTGATAAGCAGCATGCAGTTTGTAAGCCTATGATGCCATCTGATCCTGCCATCAGTGCCTGCACACGTGGACAGAAGGAGAAGAAGGCATGGGTGCCCCAGATTATCCCCATGAAGACTGAGGGAGGAGCAGGGCAATAAACCCTGGCCATTTTTAGTTGGTTTTGTTTTATGATACTATTTGCTCTCCTGAATATAAAAGTTAATATGTATCCAAGGTATAAAAATTTAAACAAGCTGGGTGCAAGTGGCTCACACCTGTAATCTCAGCACTTTGGGAGGCTGGGGTGGGTGGATCATTTGAGGTCAGGAGTTCGAGACCAGCCTGGCCAACATGGTGAAATCCCGTCTCTACTAAAAATACAAAAATTAGCTGGGCATAGTGGCATGTGCCTGTAATCCTAGCTACTCGGGAGGCCGAGGCGGGAGAATCGCTTGAGCCTGGGAGGCAGAGGGTTGCAGTGAGCAGAGATCGCGGCACTGCACTCCAGAGTCTGGGTGAGAGAGTGAGACCCTATCTCAAAAAACAAACAAACAAACAAACAAAAAAGCTTAAACATAATAAAAAATAACAGAGAAGGAAAAAAAGTTATCTATGATTCCACTACCCAGAGATATCAGGTTGAACTGTATGCAGTTGCCATTTTTGTAGGTCAAAATGGGTGAATATCAGCAATTTCATGTTTTCACTTAATATATTGGTGTATTTCCTTCCAAATACTTTACATTCCTTTAAATGGAAATATATACATATATATATATTCACACACACACATATATTTGAGATTATAATGTATATGCAAGTGTATGCCCAGCTTTTTTTCATAAAACATAATATAATCATTTCTCCATGCAATTAAAATTTTTTCTCTAAACAGTGTTTTTAATAGTTACATAATATCCTGTCGTTTGGGAGTATCAGGGGCATTTCCGCAGTCTCCAGCTCCTTGTCCCATGGCCCAGGGAAAGAAAGAGGCTTGTTTCTGGCACTCTCTTGACCAGGGAAGGGCTGGACCAGCTCCCAGCAGAGCTGGGGAGAAAGCTCTGGTGACAGGCGGCCGGAAGGCAGCTGGCCCTTGTCTCTCCTCAGGACATGTGCTGAGTGCAGACAGAGGACGGGAGTGGAAAAGTTTGTTCCTGAGAGGCTGGGAAGAGTATAAAGAAGGGCATGCTCACTGCCAGGGACCAAAATAGGGGTCTGGAGGGGAGTCAGGCTCTAGCAAGGGCCTTCTCTTGCCCAGAAAGGATTATTTTAAGTGCTCAGGTATTTCAGCCAGCGACAGGTCTCCAGTTTCTGTGGTAACTGAGCTGAGTCAGCTGGAGAAGCCCCGTTTCTTCCCAAAGTGCTCTCTCTGCCTTAGCCTTCCCTGTGATAAGCTTCAAGGTCAGACCAAGCCCTTCTTGGGGCCTTGGGGCTCGCTGTGTGAGACAGAGACTGCTACCCTTTAGCATACTTCCCTACATCTTTGCCACTCAGCTAGTTTCGAGTGGAAGTGAGAGGATGAAAGAAGGGAGAAAGAGAGAGAGGAGAGGGACCCTTTCTGATGCTAACGTTGGGGATCAGTCAATAGCAAAGTCATGTTGCCTCTTTGTGCCTCAGCATTCCCCTCTGTAAATGGGGCTAATACTACTTATCATGTAGGGTTATTGTGAGATTTAAGTAGGTTATTGCATTGAAACTACCAAGGACTCCACTGCACATGGTTGTACTCCACCACTTACTACTGATGCTTTATTACCTACTCACTCTTCCACCCCTCCTTTCAAACTCCCTGAGTGCAGGAAGGGAGTGCCTAGTAATAATGCTAATGCAAATAGTTTGCCTTTACTGAAAATTTGCTATTCGTTTATTCAAGAAGTATTTAGTGAGGGTGTATTATGTGCTAGGTATTTTTCTTTCTTTTTTTTTTTTTAAATTTTTTTTTTTTTTTTGAGACAGAGTCTCGCTCTGTTGCCCAGGCTGGAGTGCAGTGGCACGGTCTCAGCTCACTGCAAGCTCTGCCTCCATGGGTCATGCCATTCTCCTGCCTCAGCCTCCAGAGTAGCTGGGACTACAGGGGCCCGCCACCATGCCCAGTTAATTTTTTTTGTATTTTTAGTAGAGAGGGGGTTTCACTGTGTTAGCCAGGATGGTCTCGATCTCCTGACCTCGTGATCCGCCCGCCTTGGCCTCCCAAAGCGCTGGGATTATAGGCGTGAGCCACCGCGCCTGGCCTGTGCTAGGTATTTTTCTAAGCACTGGGAATACAGCAGTGAAGGAATGCAAATTCCTGCCCTCATGGAGTATGCATTCTAGAAGAGGGAGGCAGACAATATACAAATAAATAAATAGACAGTAAATATGCAATGTGTCAAGTGGAGATATGTACTATGAAAAAAATATAACAGGGCAAGGGAATGCACAGTGAGTGGTGGGAGGTGGGGCAATGGGTGCTACTTTATTTTATTTTATTACTTTTTTTTTTTTGAGACAGAGTCTCGCTCTGTCGCCTAGGCTGGAGTGCAGTGGCACGATCTCGTCTCACTGCAACCTCTGCCTCCCAAGTTCAAGCGATTCTCTTGCCCCAGCCTCCCGAGTAGCTGGGACTACAGGCACCTGCCACCATGCCCAGCTAATTTTTGTATTTTTAGTAGAGACAGGGTTTCACCATATTGGCCAGGCTGGTCTTGAACTCCTGACCTCGTGATCTGCCTGCCTTGGCCTCCTAAAGTGCTGGGATTACAGGCGTGAGCCACCACACCCCACCAATGGGTACTACTTTATAAAGGGCTTATGTGCCAGCTGTTATTTGAGCCTTAAACACCCAAAGAATGAATGTTTAATAAAGCATTTTTGGACATGCCAAGGGCACCTCCAAGCACTAGGAAGGGTGATAGTTCTCTTCATTTGCAGACTGGGTGAGACCTGGAAAGTGGAGTGGGAAGCAGAGGCCCAGGGAACCAAGACACCTGGCTCCCCTCTTTGCTCTCTCCTGTTGCAGGCTGTGCCAGCTTTGGAGAGGGAAGATGGGTGTTGGGCAGGGAGGTTCTATCACTCAAGGCATAGGCCCCATATATCCACTCAGACTCTTTGGGTCGGTTCTTTGTTCTGGTGAGTGGAGGCTTAGAGGAAAGCAGCGGTACAGGGTGTGTGGAGGGACAGTTTTCCCTACCCAGAAGGACCTGCAGGTCCAGGAGTTTCTTGTCCAAGACTTGCATCTATTTGTGGGTAAATCTGGAGCCCTCTGGACAGTATGGTTTAAGCTGCGCACAGGGTTTGGGATCATGGCTACTCAGAGAAAGCAGATTTTATGTATGTTATATGGGGGAGCTGGGAAAAGGTCGTGTTATCTGTGTGTGTGTGTGTGCGTGTGCGCATGTGCACGCGTGTGCGTGTGTGTGTGTGTGTGTATGTGTATATGTATGCACATAGGCACAAGCTAAAAGAACAAGGGATATATCGCCTCTCTGGCCATGCTCTTTTTCTTGGTGATCCTTGCTCTGCCATGAAACCTATGGGGTTCAGTTCTGGCTCCTGTCTCATTCCAAGAGATAAGCGTAGGCCAGGTTATTGGTGACCTCCCCAGTGAGGCCGGTTGCTCTCCTGTAGGTAGGGAATACCGAACCTGAGAAAGATCCTCACGCCCCAGATGTCACTGCTGGAAGGCCTTAGAGATCATTTGAATGTCACTAGAATTTTGGGTCCCTGAGGGCAGGGCCTTTGTTTTGTTCCCTATTGTAACTCCAGAGCCCAGAGTAGAGTCTGGCACATAGTATATGCTAAATAAGCATTTGCTGGGTAAATGAAAAGCTCTAGCTCAATCCCCACTTAATTTATGGAGGAGAAAGTTAAGCCTAGGAAGTAGAGGTGACAGAGCTAGGACTGTAACTCCACATTTCCTTGTCCTCTTTTGGAGTCCTCTCTCTCTGATCCTTAAAACCCCAGAATTTCCCAGGCTGCCAGGATTAAATGAGGTAAACTATAAAACTTTCCAGCCTGTGCCCAGTATGTCGTAGATGCTCAAATAATATGAATTTCTCCCCCCGCCCCCCTTTTTTTTTTCTCGGCACTTTTCTCAAGTTTCTCTGCAAGGCAATATCATATACTCAAGTATTTTTTCCCACCTCGTACCTCTTCTCCGTTCACACATCTATTCACCATTCACTTGCTATGTGTTAGGAGGGGCACCAAGGAATTAAAAGATGACCAATTAAAAGGTGATCAATAGCTGTGTTTTAAGAGATTAACCCTTCAAATTGTATTAATAAAATTAGTGATTCCTAAGGGCAGGATTTCCACAGAGGAGATATGCTGGGATCTCAGGACGCAAGGGGGAATTCTATCAGGACCCCACCTCTGAGTGTCTGCTATCTCCCTCTCCCACAGTGGCAGATGAAATGCTGCAAGTGTGACTCCAGGCAGCCTCACAACTACTACAGTCACCGAGTAGAGAATGTGGCTTCATCCTCCGGCCCCATGCGCTGGTGGCAGTCACAGAATGGTGAGCATTTGCCATCTACGGGAACTCAAACTGTACAGCCTCCACAGGATAAGACGGATGGAAGGTGCCCTATAACCCTTTGGGTTTCCCAGGCATTTCTTATGGTGGTGTGACATGGGTGATTGATAAGAAGAATCTTTCTGCCTCATATTTGGGGTCTGTTGGATGTTATGGTAGAAGAATTTATTGGAGGTGAAAGAAAGGGTGTGAGGAGAGAGGAATGTCTTTATTTCCCTCCACTCAGTCTCAGTGGGTGGGCTTGCAGAATTAAGTTTGGGGAACAAGTCTGTGTGGAACAGACAAGTTGAAGCCCTCCAAAGTATTGAAGACATCAGGTGATGGTGGGAAGGAAACTTAGCCAAAAACAGATAGGATCTTGAATAGATAATATAAGCAGAAACATACCACTCCCCACTCCTCTCCAAGAGGGAGTTTGGAAAATCAAGGTTAGAGAGTTTCTGAGTTCCTAGAGCTAGTCTAATCCAGGGCTTCCTTCAGGGCTGGGGAAGTGGACAGTCTCTGGATGACAGTTTCTATTTTTTGTCCTTCCAGATGTGAACCCTGTCTCTCTGCAGCTGGACCTGGACAGGAGATTCCAGCTTCAAGAAGTCATGATGGAGTTCCAGGTGTGCCTCCTGGGGGTGGCAGTGGATAGGAGAGGGGCTCCTGGGCCATGTGGGCGTGGAGCCATGGAGGAGCACAGTGTCCTTGTCTCTCTGGGTTGGGGCAACACTCACCATGAGCCTATATCATGGTGACAGAAGAGGACTCGCTCCTGGGCTAAAAGTGGCACCTCCTGGCTCCCTGTCTTGGCCGTGCAGTGGTTGCATATCCTCTTCCTCTCTCATTCTCCACCCTCAACCCATCTAATTAATTCAGCTCTGCCAAGTACCAATTCTACTGGGCCCGGTTGCTTGTTGTACAGTTGTGTATTCTTGGTATACTCTGTTTTAATAACTTTGCATATTAGATTGACTTTAACAAGCAGCCAAGAACTTGCCTATCCAACTAACTGATGGATATTCCTTTGGTGCAGCTCTCTTGGTGGGCAATCTACTCATTCAGCGCCATTACTTCTCAAAGCACTTTCAGATTCTGCCTTTAGAACATCCTTCTAGATACTTCTTTTGGAGGAAACATTTTCATTTAATTGCCATAGGTCAATTTTTTCTTTTCAGAGATGATTTGGTTTTATTCTTTCTACAGAAATAGTCAGATATTCAATGATCAAATTTGGTTAATAAGATTAAAGGATTAGGAAGGGAGATATAATTTTCAGGAGTTAAAATGAGCTTGGAATAAAAAGTAATAGGACCTAATTTCTTACATGACTGAAGAAGTTGGCTCTAAGAGCCTTGCCCCATCTAAAGGTCAAAAATATTTTGAGAAATGCCAGCATTGTTTGAATAAATGCCCAGTCTCTAAAGGTGGCAACTTTGAAGGGCAGCATATTCATTTGATAGACAGTGTTAAATAGTCTCCTCACTTTATCATCGCTCACCTGTTCATTTATTTGTCATTTATTTGTGAGCGCTTATTGAACACTGATTACTCATTAGGCTTGGTGTCAGATGTTAGGGATATAAAGATGAATAAAACCAAATCACAGTCTTCAAGCTGCTTTCACCATACGTGGGGAAGTCAGTAGTGAGAGAGTGCAATGTGTGCTCTGATATTGGTAAGAAGAGGTGCTGGGAGCCCAGAATGGGGCTCTTGCATGGTCTGTCTTGGGAGGGCTTGTCAGGGAGTGCACCCAGGGGAAGATGAACTTTCATAGACCAGTAATGGCCAGGGGAAGGGCAATGTTTATTCCAAGAAAACAGAACCATAAGCACAAAGGCCGGGAGGCAGGCGGCAAGAAGATGAGGTATATGACTGGGGTTGGGGGCAAGGGAATGCACACAGGGCCTGGAGGGTGAAATGTGCTTGGTGGCAAGAGGCAGGGATGTGGAGGGCTGAAGACTGCTGCGAGATGAGTTTCCAGGTATACACAGGGGGAGGGGAGCAGACTGAAGATTCACCATTTGTTCAACAAATATGTGCTAAACACCCATGTGCTAGGTGTTGGGGGTCCACCTGTGAACCACAGACAATAGGGGCTACAGCCTGGTTTACTGAGTCTCAACCAGGGGCACTGTTTTGCCCTCTCCTCTCCCCCAGGGGATATCTGACAATTTCTGGAGACATTTTTGGTTGTCATAACTATGGGTATGTAATGATAACTGGTGGGTAGAAGTCAGGGACGCTGTTCACCAGGCTACAGTGCACAGGACAGCTTCTAGGACTAAGATTTCTCCAACTCAATACTTTAACAGTGAGAACGGTTGAGAAATCCTGGTCTCACAGGAAAAGAATAAAAAGCAAGAAACCAACAAGTAAATAATTGGAAATCGTGGTGACGTTTCTGAAGGAAACAAGATGCTGAAATAGAAAATAATGGGGCAGGGTGGGGTGGGCCAGACGTGAGCAGGAGAATGCAGTTCAGTCAGGTATCAAAAGATCTGTACCAGGAAATGACATTTCAGCTGAGAACAAAAGATGAGAGGGAACCCACCAGCGGGAGGAGCATTCCAAGAAAGACTGGACAAAGGCTCTGAGGAGGGAATGAGCTTGGTTTAGGGCTTGAAGAGAAGAGGTGGCCTGAGAGGAGGCAGGGCCCAGGGAGCCTGGGGCCTCTTCACTCATGGTCAGAAGTTCAGATTTCGTTCCAGAATAGTATTGGAGGATTTTTAGCAGAGGACTGACAAGGCCCATTTTATGTTTTAAAATCATTAAGAAGATGACCAGCCTGGCCAACATGGCAAAACCCTGTCTCTACTAAAAATATGATTAGCTGGGCACAGTGGCTCACACCTGCAATCTCAGCACGTTGGGAGGCCGAGGCGGGTGGATCACTTGAGGTCAGGAGTTCAAGACCAGCCTGGCCAACATGGTGAAAACCCATTTCTACTAAAAATACAAAAATTAGCAGGGCATGGTGGTGTGCGCCTGTAATTCCAGCTACTCAGGAGGCTGAGACATGAGAATCGCTGGAACCTAGGAGGCGGAGGTTGCAGTGAGCCAAGATCGTACCACTGCACTCTGGCCTGAGTGACGGAGTGAGGCTCTGTTTCAAAACAAACAAACAAACAAACAAACAAACAAAAAACAGAAGATATGACTGAGTAAGAGTGAACGTGGGGAAAGGGGAAATCAGATGAAGCTTACTAGGGAGATCAGGCAGGAGGGGACCCTGAAGCTGGAGAGACAGGCCTGGGCCTGGTTCAGTATCTGCTTTGGAGGCTGAGTTTATTATAGACCTGCAGTTCCAGGAAGTTGTTCAAGCTGGGAGCTGTCAGCATAAAGACCACATTTAAAGCCACCCAAAATGGATGAAATCATTTTGTAGGAAGGAGCAGGGACTCAATATGTCATGCTAAGGTGCTCAGTTTATATCATGAGATCAATGCAGACTGATTGAAGCTCTCACAGATCAGATAATCACCCAGGAAGAGCTCTCTGGTGAGTGGGGAATGTGGTTTGGAGGGCCATGACAGAGGAGGCTGGACATGAGTTCCAGGAGAGAGACAGAGAGAGGAGAGAGAGAGAGAGAGAGAGAGAGAGAGAGAGAGAGAGAATAAAAAATGGTCAACTGTGCGAAGTGTAGGAGCAGAGAAATGTCTATCCTGGAAGCCTGGTGAGCTGAGCTAGGGATCACTCCTGGAAGGCAGATCCTGGGAGAAACTTCTGTGGCCTGTGGTATGCCAGGAGGTTTGGACCCGGATGCTCCGAGCCCACTTGCTCCCACTGGGCCCCCTTTCTCCCGAGTTCACTGGAGGAGCCTGTCTCTCTGCTTGTGTCTCCACGGGGCACAGCCCCAGTGCCTCCCCTCTGCACACTGCCCCTGTCTCCACAGGGGCCCATGCCCGCCGGCATGCTGATTGAGCGCTCCTCAGACTTCGGTAAGACCTGGCGAGTGTACCAGTACCTGGCTGCCGACTGCACCTCCACCTTCCCTCGGGTCCGCCAGGGTCGGCCTCAGAGCTGGCAGGATGTTCGGTGCCAGTCCCTGCCTCAGAGGCCTAATGCACGCCTAAATGGGGGGAAGGTAGGTAGAGGGAATCCTGAAAAGTAGGCCTGGGGAGAAATCCCTGATGTCCCACTGTTCACACAGCCACACGGACTCCTGAGAAGGGACGGAAACACCCTCGCCAGCTCCCCTTGCTGACTTTCCTGAATTCCCACCAGTAATGACCCCTGTGGCCACCCTCAAAACATTTGCTGCTTATCCTCTTTGCTGAGGAAGGATATTTCAGCAACACCTTGGGGCCACCGCATTACTCACCCCTGCCGTCTTCCACAGCCCCCTCCCCCGTGACTCATTGGCTCATCCCTCTAGTGGGAAGATGAAATCGACCCTACTTTGATATGAGGACTTTGGGATGCTAGTTAGATGCAAGTGAGCAAATTACACAAATTTCATTTCACCTTGGTAGGGTTTAACACAAAAATAAACATTTTCAGTTTAATCTATCCATCTAACCCAGTCTTAGCCCTTGGAGGGAATTCTGGTAAACCCAGAGCCCGAATTCTCCTGAGCTTAAACCCTGAGCTAGAAATAAGAACCTGCCTGAAGAAAAACTCAGAATGTTTCTCCCTAAGTCCTCCCAACGTGGGTCAAATTCTTTCATAACTGCGTTTCCCCATCCCCTGGCAGAGGAGGCTGTAGTTTCTCTTCTCCTTTCCCTGGCTGAGACACAGGTGAGCCCTCAGAGCTGCTCTCATGTGGACCGATGCTCAGAGTGGGGCCCTCTATGCAGGCCATGCAACTCTTCCTTTGGTTTTAGCAGTTCCTCCTTGGTTATACCCTTACGCAAATCTATGTTAACTACATTCTTCACACACCAGATAAGAACTTTTTCCTAACTTGTGGAGGGCTGATGTGAAAACTCTTCCTGGGATATGTAGATGATGAGTGGATTTTTTTTTTTTGAATAAATCAAAGCATAGTTGAAACTGGGATTGTCCAGAGTGCTGTGGTCACCCACATTCACGCATCCTTGGGTTTTAGATTTCTCACTCATCCTGAGTCATCAGAAAATTAGTATCTCCTAAACCCTTATATGTAGATGATATATCTTACCATACTTTTTGACCCAGGGAACTCAGAAAATTCTTAGGATACTTATATTTTCAACTGGCAGGGGTTGGGGGTGGGGTACACACACACACACGTTTAGGGCCCAGTGATCATCTTTCTCCCCCACAGCAGATGACAAGCCTCATAGCCATGGTCTATCTCAGGTTCCAGGTAACAAGGACTTCAAGTGTGAGGCATATAATGGAAAGAAAGGTTTCTTCTGAACTCGGGGCACACTATTTGTCTCTTCTTCAGCGCTTCTCTTTCCCTTCCCTCTGTAGGTCCAACTTAACCTTATGGATTTAGTGTCTGGGATTCCAGCAACTCAAAGTCAAAAAATTCAAGGTCAGTGTGGTTACTTCTCTTGTCCATGGAACTATGGGTGGGAAAGGAAACAGAGTTGGAGCCCAGGTCATGGAAATTTCCTGGTCTTTCATGTTTTTGTCAACGTGGTTGGGGATTTGATACTTGCCCTGCTTGCCCCATAGGGATATTGTCTGTGGGATGCTATGGGATGGTTGAGGTCTGGAGAGGATGGCCCACGGTATCACATATGAAGGAGACTCTATGTGCCTCTAACTTCCTTTCTTTATTTTCCATTCTCCAACTCTTCCCTCCTTGCTGTTTGGCCCTCTCAGAGGTGGGGGAGATCACAAACTTGAGAGTCAATTTCACCAGGCTGGCCCCTGTGCCCCAAAGGGGCTACCACCCTCCCAGCGCCTACTATGCTGTGTCCCAGCTCCGTCTGCAGGGGAGCTGCTTCTGTCACGGCCATGCTGATCGCTGCGCACCCAAGCCTGGGGCCTCTGCAGGCCCCTCCACCGCTGTGCAGGTAACAGCCTAGGGTGGGAAGGGGAGAGGAAGGGGGCAGGACCAGGGCAGACTACAGACATTCTTGGGGCTCCTGTAAAGCAGGAAGGGCACTAAATCTAAGACTTGGGTATTTAATACTTCAGCAGCAACAACAAAAAATCGAAGTGGTTTTCGTTCCAAAAATCAGAATCATTTAGTACTTCTTTAGATCTGCTTCCTAATTTGAGATGATTTTCATTTCATTTACATAAGTGTGGAAATTGGGAGGGAGTTTAAGCCAATGATTCTCAACCCTCGTTATGCATTATAATTTCACTGAGAGCTAAAAATGTTGCCCAGCCCTCCACCCTAAGATATTCTAATTTTATGATTGGCTTTTAAAGCTCCCAGGTGACTCGAATGTACTGCCAGGTCTGAGAGCCACTGGTTTGGGGATTTTAAAGTCTCAGCTAGTGGTGAGATATGGGGCACGGTGAGAGACCAATGTTTAGTACAGATGCTAAGTCTACCCTAGACCAGGCGGATTGGCTTCAGCAGGGATGGGGTTTGAGACGTTCCAGTTTAACAAGCCCTCCCCTCCCAAGGGGTTTTGCTGTGAAACCAAGCTTGAGAACCACAGGTAGAGAAGAGAGAACCTTGAGCAAAGAAGCAGAGGGACCCAACATGGGAGCGTGACAGCTGTCCTAGTGACAGGGGGACAGGAGGAAATCATGTAAGATGGCCTGAGTGGGAAATAGAGGTGGCACAAGCCTCAGCTGGCATTCTTCTTTCCACTTCTGGGCCAAATTCTGCCCCAGGCTGCAGAGGTGTACAGAGGGAGGCCAGCTCAGGGAGTGTGTCATCTGTCAGGGCCCATGAGACATACTCCTAGAACCCAAGGCTGAGTGACACAGAGGGAATACAACATGCTATGACATGACGAGGTGGGAGGGAGCCACCCAGCCCTGGTGGTCCTCAAATCTGGCCATGCAGTGGAATCACCACTTTTAAAAGGTGCCACTGCCTGGGTCTCATCCCTGAGATTCAGAGTGAATTGGGTCTGGACCTTGGCATTTTAAAAAATGTTCCCCAGGTGACACTGAGGTACAGGCAGTGTTGAGATCTATGGAATTAGAGGCACCAGGGAGGCCTTATGAGAGAGGTGCCGTTCTAGCTGGAGCCTAGCTGGCAGGATTTTGTGAATGAATACAGAGAGAAGAGAATTCTAGGCAGAAGAAAAACCATTGCTAAAGGCCAAAAGGTGGAGAAAGTAGGGCTTGCAGAGGGAGCAGCTAGAAGTTCATCTTGCTATGCTGTCAGCAGGACATGGGAGCTGAGAATGCAGCTAACATGATACAGGTCCTTGAATGCCAAGCTGAAGGTGTTGGGCTTAATTTGGAAGGCAATTAGCACGCAACAGCTATTCTATTTTTATACCTTAATGAGTCTAGTGACAGTTCATCACAACAGTTCCATTAACCAAACAACTGTATTCATAGATTGTTGGAATAGAAATCTCCAGAGGGCCCCACCAGCTTCTGGATCCCACAGTTTGCCAAGGGTGTCTGAGCACCTGCCAAGCGCTGCCTCTGACTGGGTGTCATGGGGGTGTCCAAGTGCAAGCAGCGAGCTTGCAAAAACCTCACTAGGGGAGCAGTGCGGGCACACGCACGTGCACACACACACATGCTCATATGTGCAGAACAATAGCAGACAGTTTCACAGGAGCTGGGTGAAGTCTGCGGCATTCAGAGGAAGCTTCCTGGAAGGGTTGGGATCTAAGCCAGATCCTGAGTGGTGCGCAGAGGGTCAGAGGGCAGTGGGCAGGTCCATCCCTGGTGCCCTTCTTTGTTGATTACTCCTGATGGCTGACGGTCCCCCTCCCAGGTCCACGATGTCTGTGTCTGCCAGCACAACACTGCCGGCCCAAATTGTGAGCGCTGTGCACCCTTCTACAACAACCGGCCCTGGAGACCGGCGGAGGGCCAGGACGCCCATGAATGCCAAAGTAGGAGCTTTGGATCACCCCTCCCCTGTAGGGTCTGGGTCGAGTGCTGGCCCCTCTAGGCCTTGATGATCTCACCTGGGATGCAGGGGGATCCAGTCTTTCTTATGTAAATCTAAACTGAATTGCACCATTACAATTCAAGCTCTCCTGGCTCTGTGAGGATGGAGAGAGTATTTGGGTGACATCCTCCCACTGTCCCCAGCTAGAGCCTGCTTCTTCTGGCCTCTCCAGTTGCTTTACCCTGTTTAGGACATATCTGGTTTTTCTATTGTCATTTTTCCTACTTCAAATGGCTCCCTAGAATCAGGCCCTTTGTTTACATAAATGAGGAAAACAGAGATTCTCATCCTGGAGACAGGCAGTGACCCAGGAGGAGACCAGTGTTGGCAGTGGGAGGGTTGGGGATAGAGCATTCAAAGGGCTCTTTCTTTGGCCCAACATGGCCACTGTTCTTGGGTTTATTCCAACAGTAAGAATCAGGAAGGCTGAGTTCTTATTCTCCTCTGCTTTCTTATTGGTCATGTAACCTTAAATAAGTTATACAAACCTCCCTTGCCCTCAGTTTCCCCACTTCCCTGCCTTGATCATCTTGCAGAGTTGTTACAGATGCCAGTGAGCTTTTGTGGAGCATGCTCTGTAGATAGCAAAGGTGTGGGTCAGATGTCAGCCCTGGGACTCTCTTTTTCCAGGGTGCGACTGCAATGGGCACTCAGAGACATGTCACTTTGACCCCGCTGTGTTTGCCGCCAGCCAGGGGGCATATGGAGGTGTGTGTGACAATTGCCGGGACCACACCGAAGGCAAGAACTGTGAGCGGTGTCAGCTGCACTATTTCCGGAACCGGCGCCCGGGAGCTTCCATTCAGGAGACCTGCATCTGTGAGTAGAGGCTCCGGAGTCCCAGAGTGTCATTTGTCTGTTACTCCCCATCTCCTCTGGGTACAATAGAGTACATGTTCCTGGGCACACCAAGGCCCTCAGGGAGCATGAAAACTTGGCTGTGAGTCAGGATTTGTGGGAGATTATTTTAATTTAGCTATTACTGAGCAAGTCACTTAACCTCTCTGGACCATCAATCAGACAATCAATCAAGAGTTAGGCTTTATTTGGGGCATAGGGAAGAAAAAAGTAAACATAAGATACAGTTTGTGCCATCAGGGAACACACACACTGTTTGGCAATATAAACTGTATACACCTGCAGAAGAGGGATGAAAGCACCTTTTCCGTATGTATATGATTGCCTTTACCATGTTGTAATGAGGTTTGTGATTTAATTTTCTATTTCTCCCAACATCGAGAACTCCTCCATGGCGAGGATTATTTCTCACATCCTCTAGCCCTAGCACACTGACTGGAAAATAACTGATGCTCAGGGAGTGTTTGTGAATGTAATGGGAGGCAACAGGCAGAGGCAGCTTAACATGCACACAAGAGCCAGCGACTTCATATAGGAGAGGGCTGCCTGGACTGAAGCAATCAGATTCGGGCAGGTTTAGTCAGAAAAGACTTTCTGGATGAAGGGGTCTTACATTTTGAAAGGTCTGAAAGAAGTCAGGGAGTGGGGGTTGGGGAAAGCTGAGTCACTTTCTGTTGATGTTTGTTTCTGGGAAGAGTGAGACAGAACTGAGTTTGATCCCTGTTTCTTGCATGAACTTGTAATGAGAACTTGAATAAGTTATTTGACATATCTGAGCCTCGGTTTCCTCCTCTGTACAATGAGAATAATAATCTCCAGGATTATCATGAAGATTACATGAGGCAACATATGACAGTTCCCAGTTCAGTGGTTGGCACAGAGTAGTTGCTCAGTAAGTAATGACAACAAAACCGCTTCTATAGTACTTAGCATGTGCCAAATATGCTCCCCCTGCTTTATGTTTACTCATTTCTTTCTCTCTCTCTCTCTCTCTTTTTTAATGGAGATGGTTTCGCTCTTGTTGCCCAGGCTGGAGTGCAATGGCGCCATCTCAGCTTACTGCAACCTCCGCCTCCCAGGTTCAAGTGATTCTTCTGCCTCAGCCTCCTGGTAGCTGGCATTACAGGCATGCGCCACCGTGCCTGGCTAATTTTGTATTTTTAGTAGAGACAGGGTTTCACCATGTTGGTCAGGTTGGTCTCGAACTCCTGACCTCAGGTGATCCACCTGCCTCGGCCTCCCAAAGTGCTGGGATTACAGGCATGAGCCACCGCGCACAGCCATTTACTAATTTATTTCTCATAAGAAGCCTATGAAGGCTGTATCATTATTTTTATTTTATAGACAAGGAAATTGAGGCACAGAGGGATTAAGTAACTTGACTAAGGCTGTGAATTTGAAATCCAGTGGTGGAACAAGGATTTGAACCAGGCAGCCTGGCTCCTGGAATCTGCTCTGAACTCTACTTTTCTTTGTTCCTACTGCGGTGGCTGCTGTTGTCTCTCAGCCTGCGAGTGTGATCCGGATGGGGCAGTGCCAGGGGCTCCCTGTGACCCAGTGACCGGGCAGTGTGTGTGCAAGGAGCATGTGCAGGGAGAGCGCTGTGACCTATGCAAGCCGGGCTTCACTGGACTCACCTACGCCAACCCGCAGGGCTGCCACCGTGAGTAGGGGGCTTGGCCCAGCATGACGTGGGGTGGGCTGCATGGGGCCACCAGACCCACGGCTTGCCCTGCTCACTGTGCTCTCTTCAGAGGAAATCCCACTGCAGGGTAGACAGAGGGGGTATGCCCGGGCCTTTGCCAGGAGTCCGGACTTCTTGCCCTCTTACCCAGCGCCAGATGCTGTGCCACTGGCCTCCAGCAGGTGGCAGCACACGTCCGAGTTGGAAGGTGGGACTGAGTCAGCCAGATGGAGGGTGGGCAGGCAGGCGGCTGAGCTGCCAGGTGGCTGGAACTGGTGGGACAGCGCAGGGGTCCTGTGAGTCAGCCATGTCATCTGCAGGGAAGGGCCCTGCCCAGTTCTTTTCCCAGGCAGCGCCCCTCCCTGGATGTGTGTCCTCTGGGGGTGAGTTTTTCATGGAGCGTCTGCCTGAGCTCAGCAGCTCTCCTCCTGCAGGCTGTGACTGCAACATCCTGGGGTCCCGGAGGGACATGCCGTGTGACGAGGAGAGTGGGCGCTGCCTTTGTCTGCCCAACGTGGTGGGTCCCAAATGTGACCAGTGTGCTCCCTACCACTGGAAGCTGGCCAGTGGCCAGGGCTGTGAACCGTGTGCCTGCGACCCGCACAACTCCCTCAGCCCACAGTGCAACCAGGTACGAAGTGAGGGTGGTCCGGGGGCCCCCTCAGTGGGAGGGGGGTCCTGAGCACCAGCCTCTCTGCTGCCCCTCCATGCTGCCCTTCTAGGCCTCTCCCCTGTCAGACTGGGCGTCTTCTGTCCCCGTTCTCATTTGGGGAAGTCACCAGATGTCCCTCCCTCTGTGGCTCTTGGCCGTCAGTAATACCATATGCACCACACCTTCTGAAGGGCCTATGCTGGGCCTTGACTTCAAGGCTCATCTCTGAGTGGGAGCCCTTGTTTTGTGGGCACAGCAGCTCTGGAGGTGGCCATGAGCCCTGGATTCTACCTGTGGACCAGGAATCTAGGACACAGTCCCTGACACCAGGGTAAGGCAGAGGCTGTGAGGCAGGGTCCACTGACGGTGCTCTCCCCACGCAGTTCACAGGGCAGTGCCCCTGTCGGGAAGGCTTTGGTGGCCTGATGTGCAGCGCTGCAGCCATCCGCCAGTGTCCAGACCGGACCTATGGAGACGTGGCCACAGGATGCCGAGGTGCATGCTCAAAGCCTGGGGGACGCTGAGGCTCTGGGGGCCGAGCACGCGGGTGGGCACATGGTGGGGGCGTGTAGGTCTGCAGCAGGGCAGGATGTCCTGTACTGATGCATGTGGTGTGGGCCTGGGCAGCCCTGTGAGTGCACACACTCCGGCCTGTTGGCATGGCCTCCAAGCCCCTGAGGCAGGCCTATGCCCGCTGTTCCTGCGTCCCCGTGACATGCTGGTTGCTTTGCTCCCCACTTCCCTGAGAGAGAGAGAGCATTTCCCAGAAGCCATCTCCAGGGCAGCAGCAAGGAGGGGAGGCTGTTTCTTCCCTCTTCATAGATGGAGGAAGTGAGTCCTGAAGGGGAAAGGGTGTCGTTTCCCACGGAGTCAGTTTGATGTCACCACAGGAGCACAGGCCTTGGAGTGTGCAGACCAGATTGTGGTCCCAGCTCTGCCCCTGCCTCACTGAGTGACTTTGAGGGAGCTGCTTCCCCTCTTTAGACTTGGTTTCCTTCTTAGAGGAAGAGGCATGCTGTACTTAACCTCTCTGTCCCTCAGTTGCCTCATCTAGAAAAAGTGGGAAAACAAGAGTGCTAATTCCCAGAGTGGTGTGAAGATCAAATGAGTTAATGTGTGTGTGTGACTTTAAGTGGTGCCTGGCACATGGTAGGTGCTAAGTAAGCGTTTGCTTTCACTGCAGCTGTTACCATGGCTTTTATTCTGGCTGCGACTTCTGTTATTCTAAGTCATGTAGAAAGAGCCTCAGGTCAGACCTCCTCTTCAGGGCTCTCCCTGACAGCTGCTTCTGTCTCCCTGACCCCTGTCTCTGACTGTCATTTTTCTTGGCCCTAGCCTGTGACTGTGATTTCCGGGGAACAGAGGGCCCGGGCTGCGACAAGGCATCAGGCCGCTGCCTCTGCCGCCCTGGCTTGACCGGGCCCCGCTGTGACCAGTGCCAGCGAGGCTACTGTAATCGCTACCCGGTGTGCGTGGCCTGCCACCCTTGCTTCCAGACCTATGATGCGGACCTCCGGGAGCAGGCCCTGCGCTTTGGTAGACTCCGCAATGCCACCGCCAGCCTGTGGTCAGGGCCTGGGCTGGAGGACCGTGGCCTGGCCTCCCGGATCCTAGATGCAAAGAGTAAGATTGAGCAGATCCGAGCAGTTCTCAGCAGCCCCGCAGTCACAGAGCAGGAGGTGGCTCAGGTGGCCAGTGCCATCCTCTCCCTCAGGTAATTCCCTTTCCCTGCCAAGCATTTGCAAGAATTATGCTCCAGGGGTTCCAGTACCGGGCATGCTGGTCCTTCCTTACATTTGTACAGTGCATTACAGTTTAAAGGCATTTTCACAGTGCTCTCTCTTTCAACCATTACAACAGTCCTGTGAGGCTGGTGTGGTTTTGCAGATGAGAAAACAGGCACAGACAGGTGATGTGACAGAGCCACATGACCACCGAAGGGCAGAGCTGGGCCTCAGAACACAGTCCAGGAGCCCAAGCCCAGCGTTCTTTTAAGTGCCCAGTGCTGCCTGTGGGAGAGAGTCAGCTCTGGATTAGTCACCCTGGCGGAGGGCATCCGAGAGGCAGGGGCTCTAAAAATAACTCACGTGTGGCTTTGGAATGGAAGTTGGTCCCGCCCACACCCCCATCCCACCAGCAGAGGTGCCTTCTTAGTGAGGTTCAGTTCTGGAAGCTTCTATAATTAGTTTGCATTCCCTGAGCACTGGCTTTCTGACTGTGCACAGAGCCATCCAGGTGTGTGAGTGGTGGGGAAGGAAAAGGCAGCCTGAGAAGAATGAAAATGGAGGCTCCGTGACTCACGATGTGCTAGAGCTTCTGGCTGGGGGCTCCGGGAGAGGAACTCAAGCGAATATTGAAAACCAACCTACCTTCCTTCCTTCCTTCTTTTCCTTCTTTTTTCCTTCCTTCCTTCCTTCCCTTTTTTTCCTTCCTTCCTTCCTTCCTTCCTTCCTTCCTTCCTTCCTTCCTTCCTTCCTTCCTCTCTCTCTTTCTTTCTCTTTACATAATTTTAGAGCATCTATGATGAAACAAGCATTGTACAGGCATTGGGGATATTGAAATTAGTATGACATAATCTTTGCGCTCAAGAAGCTCGCACTGGGGAGAATGATGTGTAAATGGTAAACTATAATGTGACGCATGTTATAATGTGTCATGGCAGGCTTCACAGAGGTGCCTTCTGACCTAAGTCTCAGATTCGGGCAGTCAGTCCACCAGATTCAGTAGGTTGGAAACACAGGCATGGAGGGGCATTCCATGGAAGGGCGTTCTGTGCCTGATCAAAGCCTGGAGGTGGAGAATGTGAGGCTTGGAGGAGGGAGCTGGTGGTTGGGTTGGTGGAGCTGCAAAGGGCACAGGGAGAGAGGACTCTCCAAGAGCTCAGTGGCCAAGGGCCTGGGAGGTAGACTCTGAGCCTCCTTCGGGGGGATGACCAGCTGGCAGCAGTGATGGGATCTGGAGCTGAGTGGGAGGTGTGGACTGTGGAAGAGATTTTGGAGCTGCAGCTGTACAGATGGTAGCTGAAGCCAGCCCATAGAGAGCGAAGGAGGAGGGCATCAGGGCATTGCTCCTCATGGAAGCCAGGATCTGGAAGAGGGGGAGGAGAATTGGGAATGTTGGGTCATAGAAGTCAAGGGAGGAGAGTTTTGTGGCTCCATCTGCACCTGGACAGAGAAAGATTGTGCTGGTCGCCAAGCCTCTGTCCAGCGGAACCCCCTTAGCCTGTGGATTCTCTGTTCTGTTGCCTTTGCCCAAGGTCTCTGTTTGTTCTGACTCAGTAGCAGTTGCTCTGAGGGGATAGCTGCTTTGGGGAGGCAAAACTCCCTCCTATATTTTAGTGTAAGCTCCTCTCCCTTCTCAGGCGAACTCTCCAGGGCCTGCAGCTGGATCTGCCCCTGGAGGAGGAGACGTTGTCCCTTCCGAGAGACCTGGAGAGTCTTGACAGAAGCTTCAATGGTCTCCTTACTATGTATCAGAGGAAGAGGGAGCAGTTTGAAAAAATAAGCAGTGCTGATCCTTCAGGTGAGGAGAGGGGCACCCGGATAACCCCGGGCATGGGCACTGCCGTGGTGGGCATGCCACCCCCTCTCCCTCCTGCTCCTCCTCCATCTCCATTCCTCATGCTTCTCGCCACAGGAGCCTTCCGGATGCTGAGCACAGCCTACGAGCAGTCAGCCCAGGCTGCTCAGCAGGTCTCCGACAGCTCGCGCCTTTTGGACCAGCTCAGGGACAGCCGGAGAGAGGCAGAGAGGCTGGTGCGGCAGGCGGGAGGAGGAGGAGGCACCGGCAGCCCCAAGCTTGTGGCCCTGAGGCTGGAGATGTCTTCGTTGCCTGACCTGACACCCACCTTCAACAAGGTGACTTGGGGCATGGAGTCCCACTTCCTGGAGCCCACACCCCAGCTTGTCACACACCAACTGCTGCCACCTGCTTCCTATTAGGGCAGATCTGCCCCTGTGAGAACCCCACTCCCCCAGCCATCCCGACCCTTGTACTGCTCACTGTGAGCTCAGTGGTTGCCAAGGAAACCAGTTTCTGGTCCTTAGCTCTCATGGAGATGTCTGGCTGTTTCTGGTGCTTGGTTGTCATGGAGATGTCTGGCTGTTGGTTTCCCAGGTGTGGGGTGGGATTGGTTATTGAGGGGCTTTGGGTAGCCTCTTTAACACCGCCATCTGTCCACAGCTCTGTGGCAACTCCAGGCAGATGGCTTGCACCCCAATATCATGCCCTGGTGAGCTATGTCCCCAAGACAATGGCACAGCCTGTGGCTCCCGCTGCAGGGGTGTCCTTCCCAGGGCCGGTGGGGCCTTCTTGATGGCGGGGCAGGTGGCTGAGCAGCTGCGGGGCTTCAATGCCCAGCTCCAGCGGACCAGGCAGATGGTAAGTGCAGCCGAGGCGGGGTGGGCACAGGTAGGAGGAGGCAGACAGGATAGATCCCCCGGGCAAGTCAGAGTTCCCATTTTACACTAAAGTCCAGAGATTTTAGGTGACCTGCTTAAGGTGCCACAGCAAGTGCAAGATAGTTTTTTTTCTCTTTTACTGAACATCCACATGTAAGCTGGGTTGGTTACAAATGCTTCCTAGGTAGGTCTTGGCATAGAGGATGATCCGCAGAATCGTGGGGCTGCTGAGAGGTTCCCTTGGGGCCTTACCCCTTCTGACCTAGAGTGTATGTCAACAGATTAGGGCAGCCGAGGAATCTGCCTCACAGATTCAATCCAGTGCCCAGCGCTTGGAGACCCAGGTGAGCGCCAGCCGCTCCCAGATGGAGGAAGATGTCAGACGCACACGGCTCCTAATCCAGCAGGTCCGGGACTTCCTAACAGGTGAGCCCAGTCTCCACCCCACCTTGGCTGCTGTTCCAGTCCTGCCTGTCCCGCATTCCCATGTTCAGTGCATCAGCCAGCCCTCCCTCCCTAGTCCCAGGCCTGCAACATCCAGGCCTCCACTTCTCCTTGGCACCATGGCCATGACCTTCTCGTTCTCCCGTCTGCCCTCCCCACCCACTCCAATCCCTTGTGACCCATTCTCATTCTCAACACAACAGCTGAAATATCTCTTTTAAAATGCATAAGTCAGATCACATCTCACTCCTGCTTAAAATCCTTCAGTGGCTTCACCTTGTTCTTGGAATGAGCTCTCAACTCCCATCGTGGCTACAGAGCCTGGCCTCTGTCCATCTCTTGGGAGTGACCTTGGGCTCTTCTCTGCTTTGTTCACTGGCTGTCCTTGAACATGTCAGGCTCTTGCCTGCTTCAGGGATGTTTATTTGCTCTTTGTCTGCCTGAAGTCCTCTTTCCAGGGCTGCTGCTTCTTGTCCTCTGGGTCATCTCCCCAGAGAGGTGTTTCCTGACCATCCGATCTGTTTGTCCCCCATCATCTTACTTTCCTTGCACTACTCACCCTCATTCAGTTGTCAACAAGTGGATTGTCACTCCACTAGAATGGGGACTCCAGGAGGGCAAGGATGGTTGTCTGTCTTGTTGACTACTGTGTCACCAGCACCTAACATAAGGCCAGACACAGAAAGACATCTGACATTGGTGGCATGAATAAATGAACCAGACACCCTTCCTCACTGCTCTGGGGAGTGAGGAAGGGCTGTACAATGGAAAGATCCCTAAACAGGACCCGGGAGACTCGTGTGACATTGGGCAGGCTGCTTTTCTCTTTGCCTCATCTTTTGCTTCTATAAATGGGGACGGTAGTATTTCACAAGTTTATTCTGAGGATCAAATAACTGATGTAAAATGTGTTTTGAAAAAGGAAAAGTGCCTCAGGAACAAGAGTTGATATTGTTAGATTTCTGGTTCCTGCCAGGTTATTTGCTTGGCTGGGAGCCCAGTTAATACGAGCCCAGGGCTTGGTGTAATGACAGTGGCTCCTCTTGCTACTATTACAGTGTTTTTGCCCCAGATAGGCCGAAGTCCCCTCCTGAGTGCAGGTGGCAGGTCAGAGAGGGGCAGGAAAGTTCTTCTGAGGTCTCATGACTTGCATAAGGCCTTGAGGCACTCACCTGGGGAAAATATTACCTGGGGATGTAGGGAGATTGTGCCCCACAAACGTGGATGATGGGGGAGGTCAAGGTGTGGGGCTTAGGCTCATGGATAAGGGATTCTTGCCCCTGAGTCAAGTCCAGTGAGGCTGAATGGCCACTCATCCTGCATTAATCTCAGCCAGGGCTCTGGCCTCAGTGGGTGGGAGGTGAGTTGGAATTCTCTCCTGCCGGGTGCAGCTGAGGCTCATGTGAACAGACAGGGAGCTGCCAGGCCCCTTTTGTCCTCTCTCTTATACTTGTATCTCAGGTCAAGTCTTATGATGAGTCCAGGGTCAGAGAGAAAAAGCAGGGCCTGAGAGAGGCCTGGCCCCAGGGGGAAACCCAGGAAAATTTTCTGTAGCGGTGGGCTTGGACTCTGGTCTCCAGAGTCCTGGTGCAGAAGCCACTGAGCGCTGGCTGCTGTCCGATATAGGGTCACAGTGTGGGAGGGAGAGTGGAAAGTCTGTGGAGGGAGGAGGAAACATCGCCTTTCCCAGTTCTTCAAATGGAATTGACAAAATGAATAGTTAAGGCTTATTAAGTTCTAACTGAGTCCAGGCACTGTTCCAAGTGCTTTGCATGTATTACATCATTTATTCCTGACTACATGAACTAAGTACTCTTATTACTTCCACTTTGCACACAAGTAATCTAGGCACAGAGAGGTTAAGCAACTTGCCTAAAGGCATCTAGCTTGGCAGTGGTGCAGGTAGGCTTCAAGCCTAATTGTCTGACTCTGTCATTCACACCCTATTGCTTTACGGCATAGACACACAAATACATACACACATGCGAGTGTGCATACACAAACACACTTTCTCTTGCCTCTTGCCTTTGCGAATGTTTTTCCTCTCTCTGGATCGTCTCCCCTCTCCCACCTCTGCTGACCTGTCTAGCTCCTGCTCATCCTCTAGGAATCTAGGCATCCCACTCTCCAGGCAGCCTCCCTGGACCTATCAGATGGCGCTGGGGGCCCCTTCCATGGCCATCATAGCACCTGTGTTTACTCCGCTCACTCAAAGCTGTACTTCCTTGTTCATGTGCCTGTCTCCCATTAGATTTCCAGCTCCATAAAGGCAGGGACTGAGTTTAATTTGATTTGCAGTCTCAACTCCTCCCATGCTTTTGCTCAAAGCAGTAAATATTTACTGAGCCCATCCTGAGACCCAGAAGGCTCTGCGACTGAATGTCATACCGATTGACCCTGAGGATGCAGCTGAAGTGGTGCAGAGTAAAGGAAGGGCAAGATCTAGGTGGGGATGTGCTCATCCTGGAAGGCTTTCTTGAGAAGGTGCACATGAAGCCTTGTTTTGAGAGTGGGACTCTGGGTTAGAAGAGAGGTTGACGAGCTCTATTAGGAAGGTCCTTATGAAAGCTTGCTGCTGGGATAAACCCACTTAATGAAACTCAACCACAGTTATGCTGCATGCAAGCCCCGAGGGACACAGCAATGAACAAGCATGGCTTCCACCCTCCAGGAGTGTCCTTCCACCTGGCATGGGATGGGGCAGGGAATGAGACCTGTGTGACCAGCTAGTATCCTCTAGTTGTAGAGTGAAACTGGGCCTGGGGCCCCAGAGGAGTTCAGATTCCAGGGCAAATCATCTGGTGAGTGGGTGCCCCCCTCCTTAATACCTCAATACCAGTGAAATCTGTAAAAGCAAATTGGGAGAGATGGGGAGGAGATGTCATCTCTGTACTTCTGACCTTACCCTCTGACCCAGAGTTGGTTTGTAACAACTCTTGCAAATGGATTGTTTCATGTTGTACCTTCAGATTGGGGATTGATATTCCTTTTTCACCGATCAGGAAACTGAGCTTAGAGGAACCACTTGACTTGCCCAGGTGGCTTGAATAGTAAAGCAGAGATCTGAACCTGAAGCCCTGTCAATCATTCATTCACTCTACGCACATGAGGACCTCCAAGTGCCAGGCACTGTGCTGGGGTCTGGGGATATAGCTGTGGACAAAACCCAGGCCCTGCCCTTGTAGAGCTTACATTCTAGAGGAAAAGAGACCAAACAAACCAGTTAAATGAGTACAGTGTTTGGCACATGGGTGGTGCAAGTGCTAGACAGAAAGATAAGGCAGGGAGGGACGATAAGGTGTGCTACAGTCCAGGGTGGAGGTTGCAATTCTAGATTGGATGGCTGGGGTTGGCCTCCCTGAGAAGGTGATATTCCAGCAGAGACTTGATCATTCTTATTTGCCTTTGCACAAATGAGCAATCTTGCCTGAGGGGGAATGCAGGGAAGGGGTCTTTTTGCCAAGGAAGCAGCTCCAGTTTCTGGCCACTCTTCCCAATTTAGGGCTGATTGTGCATGTGCTGCAGGCATTGTTCAGTACCAGCTGTCTGGCACCACCTCCTTCTCCCCAGCCCGCAGCTTCCTGTGGCACCAGACACTTAGTTGGCACAGCTGTGACGACACCCCTCCTCCTCCCTGCTGCAGCATGGAGCACAGGATAGTCATCCTCCTACAGCATTCCCAGAAATCCCTGGAGAACAGGCGCCTGAGTCTGGTTGAAAGGGGGCAGCAGCTCCTTGGGACACCACGGTAGAGGGGCCACTGTGGGTGCCTTCCACAAGTGCTGCTCAGCTAGGAGAGGCCTCGTATCTCTGGGGAGGTTAGTGGGCTCCTACAGTCAAATGCGTGTTGTCTTCCAGACCCCGACACTGATGCAGCCACTATCCAGGAGGTCAGCGAGGCCGTGCTGGCCCTGTGGCTGCCCACAGACTCAGCTACTGTTCTGCAGAAGATGAATGAGATCCAGGCCATTGCAGCCAGGCTCCCCAACGTGGACTTGGTGCTGTCCCAGACCAAGCAGGACATTGCGCGTGCCCGCCGGTTGCAGGCTGAGGCTGAGGAAGCCAGGTATGGCCTTGGGCCCTGAACTTCTCTCTGCCCAGGATTAAGCTGGCGTTTTGCTCCTCAACCCCGTTGCTGGGAGAGGGGTACAGAGGGCTGGGAGACAGGAGGGGGTGCTTACCATGGTGGAGAGTGGTACACAGAGTCCAGAGTGCAGGTTAAACTTAATTTGCATGACTGTGTCTTCCGTATTGGAAACCGCCCAGAAGGTGTCTTGGGCATAATGGGAACATTCATCACGTCTGCTTGGTGGGGTCCTGGGACATCAAAGCTACTGAGTTAATACTTTCCTTGCTCTTTGCCTTGGCTGGGAAGGGTGTTCTTTTGGACTGGTGTGTGAGTCGAACCACACATTGATTCACTGTTCACTCATTCTCTCTCTCCTCTCCCTGCTGCTTCTCTCACCCAGGAGCCGAGCCCATGCAGTGGAGGGCCAGGTGGAAGATGTGGTTGGGAACCTGCGGCAGGGGACAGTGGCACTGCAGGAAGCTCAGGACACCATGCAAGGCACCAGCCGCTCCCTTCGGCTTATCCAGGACAGGGTTGCTGAGGTGAGGCATTATGGCTTCCTCCGCCCATATTTGGGCATAAACAGGAAAATTTGGGCACCAGGCATAGAAAATGCCAGAAAGTGACTAGATAAAACCTGAGGTGGAGTTCTAGAGGAGAGTGACAAGCTTTGGGCAGGCTATGGGCCTTGGATTTTCTGGTCTTGTGGCTGGGATGCAGAAGGAGGGGTGAGAGGTGGGCAATTGTGTTTGTTCTGGTTGGAGAGGGTTTTTGCTGCCTGATGAGTTGGAGAAAAAATGGGGATGAACCCCCCGACCTATGAGACCCACCACAAAGGCCAGATCTCCCTCTTTCCACAAAGGTTCAGCAGGTACTGCGGCCAGCAGAAAAGCTGGTGACAAGCATGACCAAGCAGCTGGGTGACTTCTGGACACGGATGGAGGAGCTCCGCCACCAAGCCCGGCAGCAGGGGGCAGAGGCAGTCCAGGCCCAGCAGCTTGCGGAAGGTGCCAGCGAGCAGGCATTGAGTGCCCAAGAGGTACAGAGAAGGCGGAGTTAGCTCAATGATGTACGGCCAGTGAGGGGGTCCTGAGCAGAGGAGGACTTTGCACACTTTATAAGACCACAAACTCAAAAGTGCTTAGAATAACAGAACCAGAAGAGGCTTGAGAGTCAACCCAAACCTGGCCAGGCATCTGATTTCTCCCTCCACTGCTTTTGGTATAGCTGGCTCAGGGACACTGGAGATGACCTAGTCCAGTCCCTTTCCTTTTACAGATGAGGTGGTGACTCGTTCACAGGCCTAAGAATCATCTACAAAGCAGGTCCCCTGACACTGGATCCAGAGCTTGTCTCTTGGATTCCCAGCCTGGACAGATGCTCTTTGCTTAACCTAACCTGGGCTCCATGATTGTCAGAATTAGATGAGAGAGAAGATCAAAGAGCCCATTCTCAGTGTCTCAAGCACACTACCTGCTCCCGCTATGGCCAGGAACATTGGCACTTTCAATCCTGGCACAGTGACCAAGTTGCTAAGTATGCTATTAAGTGACAGCCTACTATTAATATCCTATGATGTGACTGACATTGTCCTGGGAGTGAGGTGGGTCATGTCAAGAGCTGGAGATGGGAAGAGGGAAACACAGAAGTTTAAGTCATAGTCTGTGGCTCAGGGGTTTCAATAGGCAAAACCAATGCTATTGGGGGCTAATAGGAGGCACCTTCCCACTGTGTATTGATTTGGGTGATATCAAGTGCTTTGGCCACAGGTCTTTAGGACCTTGCATGATGACAATGACACTGAGACTATTCTACCTTTTTCAGGGATTTGAGAGAATAAAACAAAAGTATGCTGAGTTGAAGGACCGGTTGGGTCAGAGTTCCATGCTGGGTGAGCAGGGTGCCCGGATCCAGAGTGTGAAGACAGAGGCAGAGGAGCTGTTTGGGGAGACCATGGAGATGATGGACAGGATGAAAGGTGAGGGAATGGTTTAGGGGCATGGACTATTGGGCATTCATGAAGGCTGGTCCCACCCAACCCAAGGCTTCTGAAGCCCGTTCTTATTGGAGCTAGCCGTGCTATGGGAGTGAGATCAAATGAGATTTTTTCTGGGCATCTAGCATGTATGAGGCTGGGGAATGCAGAGATGGTCCCATGACTTGTCCTGGCCTCAAAAAGCTTGCAATTAATGGGACCATTTTCTCTGTTTTTGCAAACAGTGGGGTCATATTTTTTATTCCTATTGCTTTATGCTTAAGATGCATAGAATTATATTTAACAGGATGAGGTGGTCTCTGATAGGGGTTGAATAATAAGAGTTCTGGGGTTCAGGGAATAAATAATTTGAGAGAGACATGTTCAGTGAAGGTAAGAAAAGAAGATTTGAGATGGGCCTGGAAGGATGTGTAGGCCTGGGAGAAGCTGTGAGGAAGAGGAGGGACATTAGGATAAGGGTGTTGGGAAGCCCCAACAAGATATGTTCTGACATAGGGACAGGAGAAGAGGGTTGCTGAGGAGCTGGTAGGAAAGAAGTGGCATGAGGTCAACATGACTTGTCCCTGTGCCTGGCTTCTAGTGTGAGGATGAGGAGGGTAGATAGCTCAGGAGGCGGTAGGGCACATCCAAGGGCTTTGAATATGACAGAAACATAATGAAAGTAGCTTTCAAAAGGGTTCCAAAAATTCCTTAGAAAGGAGAACAGGGGCTCCTGGGAACTAGAGTCATCGCTAAGATATGATGATGGGTGTTTGTGACCTCCTTCATTAGCCTTGGACAACTGTGAGAGCCCAGAGGGTCAGGGGCCCAGGGATAATTAGGAGTGGGAGCCTGCTGGGTTTGGCCCCTGCCAGGTTACTAAGCATGGGATGGGGCTGGAGAGGCATGAAGCTGGAGGGGCACCACTGCTTTAGAGGCCAGATTTTTCTGGAGGGGATTCCTCTACACATGCTACCTCCAGTTAGCAGGAGGGGAAGGAAGGGTTGGGAGTCTTGGGGAGTCTCACCATCAACTCCTCCTCCTGCTGCTGTTCCATTTGCCTCAGACATGGAGTTGGAGCTGCTGCGGGGCAGCCAGGCCATCATGCTGCGCTCAGCGGACCTGACAGGACTGGAGAAGCGTGTGGAGCAGATCCGTGACCACATCAATGGGCGCGTGCTCTACTATGCCACCTGCAAGTGATGCTACAGCTTCCAGCCCGTTGCCCCACTCATCTGCCGCCTTTGCTTTTGGTTGGGGGCAGATTGGGTTGGAATGCTTTCCATCTCCAGGAGACTTTCATGCAGCCTAAAGTACAGCCTGGACCACCCCTGGTGTGTAGCTAGTAAGATTACCCTGAGCTGCAGCTGAGCCTGAGCCAATGGGACAGTTACACTTGACAGACAAAGATGGTGGAGATTGGCATGCCATTGAAACTAAGAGCTCTCAAGTCAAGGAAGCTGGGCTGGGCAGTATCCCCCGCCTTTAGTTCTCCACTGGGGAGGAATCCTGGACCAAGCACAAAAACTTAACAAAAGTGATGTAAAAATGAAAAGCCAAATAAAAATCTTTGGAAAAGAGCCTGGAGGTTCAACGAGGAAAAACAGTCTGTCCCCTCACTGGGTAAACTCTTGCCACTGTTTCTGTCTCCCATTTGGGGTTTGTGGGGACTCCTCTATTCAAGCCCATATTTTGCTCTCCTCTGTTCCACCCGGCTTTCTGGGCACCCAGATTTAGGGAGTCTGGGCCCCTCTGCCCTAGAACCTGATGGATTCTATCCTTGAGAGACCAGAGAAGCAGTTTTCATCTCTAAGCAGCGATTCAACTTCTTGCTTACAGATGGGGAAATAGAAATCCAGGGAAGGGAAGGAACGTTCAAATTCATGCAGCTTCCAGAGGAAGGACTAAGACTAGAATCTATGTCTCTTGGGGTCTTAAAGAGAAGTTGTAAATGGATATGTGTGGGGGGTGGGGTGGAGGATGATATGGAATGGCATGGACATTTGTGTGTTAACCATGGCCCAAGCAGGCACTGTGCTAGACATTTTATCTACATTAACTTCTTGATCATTGTTAATCATTTTGATTATTTATTGGCCACGAGGCTGGGCACATCATCTGCATCATTTCATGATGCAGGTGGCACTGCTATTCCCATTGGATAAGTGAGGAAACCAAGGCACGAAAGACTAAGTAACTTCCCCAAGGTCACAGATATGGCAGGTCGGGGCAGAGCTGGGGCTCGAACTCATGCTCATCTAATAGAGCCATTAAGAGAATGGCCACTAAAGCCAGACTGCCTCGGTTCCAACAGAACCTGTCCCAAGGGGTTGTTGTGAGAAGTAATGAGTTAATGATGTAACTCATGTCCAGTGCCTGGAGCACTGTATACTCAGCTATATGCACATCTGTATGCACATCAGCTACAACTGCTGGTTCCTTGCTGACCCCAGCCATCCATGCACTCTCTACTCCAGACATGCTCAGAAGTCCCTGAACTGCTCCTGACTTTGAAAGAACCAAATGAAGCCTCATAGAGAAAAATATGTCCATTTTATTAAGCACAACACTGAGCATGAAGCTGGAGGGGTGGAGGGCGAGGAAACTGGGGAAGGACAAGAATGGTGTGCTGGACTTTCAAGGAGAGAAAAGGGAACAGAGGCAGGATTAGAACTCCTGGCAGACATTAAAATAGTCAACTTCCAAGGTTAACTCCATTGGGTGTGTGCACGGAGGACATGTGGCCAGGATAAGAATTCCTTGCAGCCCTTACTCATGAACTTCTTTCTATTCCACTTTGGAGGGTGTGGCACTGCTTTTAGATTGAGGCAGGGAGAAGGGCCAGAAGTGTGCTGGCTGGGTCTCAGCGCACTTGGGAGCTAATCCTGGAGTTAAGGATTAGAACTTGAAGAGCTCACAGGCAGACCACCATGGGGAGCTGCCTGTCATTCATGCAGATGGGCAGGCAACGACATTAATGAGCCCAATCTGGCCAAGAGGTTGGAGGCTTGAGAGGTGGGAGTGAGTGTGTGCAGAGTGGGAGTCTGGGTAGATGCTCCATATGGCTTTGCTTGGAGAAGGTGACACAGCCTGGCCAGCCCATTAAGCTTTTCACGACAAACAGCACAGACCCAGGCGAGAGCTATCTACGTACACTGCACAGAGCCACGGCACGTAGGGTGTGGGGCATAGAGCAGGCAGGTCAGGGAGACCTGGAAGCTGGTGGGCACCGCTTCTCCTGCTCACAGCTTCAACAAGGCTTCTACGCCTTGGGGCTCCCTCCTGGGCCTCCTATGAGGGGCTGCCCCGCTGGCAGCAGGCTGGTGCTTCTGGCCAGAAACTGCTCCTGCTAAGCCCTGCTCCACTTGCTCTGCCTTCCTCCCTCTGCCGGATAGACACCAGGTTTGGAAGAGCAGAGGAGTTGAATATGTCTCCTGCAAGAGAAAGGGGCTCAGAGTGAGGAGGGGGTTGCCACCTCAGACCCCATCACTCACACTCTGGCATGGGGCTCTCCTCTGGGACAGAAACTCTCCCCAAGCCTCACACTGTGACCCTCCTAACCTGAAAATTGCAGTGACATAGGCACAGGCTCCAGGAATCACATAATGAGACAGACTCCAGTCTGCCCTGCCCGGCAGTGGGAGCTGCCACTGGCTTTAACTGGTACCATGACCTCCGACTTGAAGTTCCTAGAAAGGAAATGAAGCAACAACCTTTGAAGTATTTGAGGGAAGAAGAGTCGATGGGGCAGGGCAGAGGTGGTAGTTCTCTGTGCCTGTGGCATCCACTCAGCTCTCCCCTCATGAGGTTCAGAAAGTTCAAGAACCTGCAGAAAAGATAAAGATAACCAAGCCCCCCTACACTTCCTTCTGCAAAGCACAGAGGCCCTGGAAACTCGGGGAATCTGATGCTCACCACTTGCAAATACCCAGTTTTCTGTGGGCTTTTATCATCTCTGTTGCTTCACTAACCTTTTATAGTACCTCTGTGAGGCAGGCTAATTGGGTAAATAGACTTCAACCCAGTTTACAGATGAGCAAAATAGAAGCAGAGACATTGACTCGTCAATGGCCTCACAACTAGTAAGTGATGGGGACAGGGCTGGAAGCATTTTCCTTGCCCCCTCATCCAGAACTCATCCCTCCCTATATAGCTGCCTATGAGTGGGAGAGGCCTTTGTGTCCATTTCTTTCAGTCCTGTTGACCGATTTCTTTCAGACCCAAGCTGGGGCTCCATCTTTGGCTAAAAATACGTACTGTTTTTTGTTGGCCTTTTTGAGGAGTGTGGGCTCAGAGCAGTAGGAGGACTTTCCTTTGCTCCCAATGTTCAGGCAGCTGGAGCAGCAGCCACAGGGCCCGGCGGCCAGGGACCCCTGATGCATGGGCACCAGGCTGCTGCTGATGTGGAGGGAGCCATTGACCAGGCAGTTGAGGGACCTGCCACCAGGGGCAGTGGGCCGGCGGCCATGCTGGCAGGGTAATTGGGTCAGGGCAGGGAGTGCTACACTGTGGTCCAGGACAGGTGCCTCGGTGATGGTGATCTCAGGGGAGCTGGGTCTAGAGGTTTCTGAGGCTTGAGTTTCAGGCGGCCTGTTCTCCACCTCTGGGCGGACGCCCGGGCTGTGCAGGTTCATGTGTAGCTTCCTCATGTGGTGCACCACAGCTGCTGCGTTGAAGGCTTGCTAAGGAGACACAAGAGCAGCCTCTGGCCTTCTGCAACCTCAGAGGGCCTTGGAGCTTAAACTTTCCCTTTGCCTTGTGGCCTCTTGAAACCTGGGTGCCCACTTCTCATTTCAGAGAGGGTACACGGAGCTCCAATGCCTTCTGGGACATCCCAAGGAAAGCCCTTATGTCAGCCCCTGCCAGCCCAGCCTCCAGGGGCCCAGAACAGCTTTCCCACCCCCTGGAGAGGACAGCTTACCCTCCACTTGCTCTTAGCAAAGTTCTTCTGGATCTGGAGGCTGACTGATGGGTAGATGTCCCGGTGGAGGGCTGTGTTTCCGTCAATCCTGTGGATGTAAGAGGGGACACCTGGCTACTGGGTGGCTATTTACACTCATCCAGGGAGTGGGCAGGGTGCCTGCAGGTCTAGGTGAGAGCTGGGTAGAGTGTGCAGAGGAAAGACAGCCCACAGCAGGAAAGGGCTGCAAGCAGGTCTCCTCTGTGCCCCTGGGCAAGTAAGAGTCGGCTTTAGCTTTGGCAAAATCAAAAACTTTTAGAGCAAGGTCAACAAGCTATAGCCTATAGGCCAAATCGACCTATTGCCTGTTTTTGTAAATAAGGTTTTATGGGGACACAGTGGTGCCCATTAATTCAGGTATTGTCTGTGGCTCCTTTTGCACTGTGACAGCAGGGTTGAGTAGTTGCCATAAAGACAGTATGGCCAGGAAAGCCTAAAATATTTACTATCTGATGCTTTATAGAAAAAGTTTATTGGACCCAGCATCACAGGGCACTGGGGTAGTCACCATCCTTTAGCTCAAAACCTTGCCTAGAACCCACCTCCTCCTGGAAGCCTTCCTCAGTAAGGCCGTCTGGTACAGGCTGCCCCTTTCCTATCCCCTTAGCCTCTTATTCACTGGTCTCTAAGTGTTCCTCAGACACTTGCTGTGTGCATAGTACTGTGCCAACTACTAATAGACCTCGAGAAGTAAGAGACATGGGCCCTGACCCCTAGGAGCCTACAGTCTAGATGTCGGGTGTTGTTCATGCTATGGACTGCAGTAATACATGGTAAGCCGTGTGATTAATAAAGAGAACTGGGGAGATTGGGTTGGGCTGCAGGGGTCAGGGGCTTCAGGGAAGGGCAGAGACTGATCTGGATCCTGAAAGATGCTACATACAGGGCAAGAGGCAGGACATTGTAGGTAGTGGGAATGATCTGATCCAAGGTGTAGTTAAGACAGAGCTTGGTATGTGGGGTGAGACAGATATAGCTCCCAGGCCTATCTGGACAGAGGAGGTATGCTGGCAATCCTGGGAAAAGAGGCTGGAGATAAAGGGTCAGGCCATATTAGGGAAACTGGAAAGACAAAGGAATCCAGGCTTGCTGGGGTATGAAGTGGGGAGCTATTGTAAATTGAGTTGGGAAGTAACATGAAAAAATATTTTAAGATTTTCTTTTTCCTATTTTGCCAATCGGTTGCTTTGCAGTTGTTCTTAAATCACTTCACCTGGAACAGTTATTGATCCCTGAGTAAAACAAAGCTCTAAAGGACAGGACAGAGTTGCCCATTCCTGGCACTTCTTGAATAACTAGTACTGAACATTGCACCCTATCCCAGTGCTGAATGACAGCGCTCGGCTGCACCTGCCTCCTGCACTTGACCAGACAACCCAGCTGCTACCCTTGCATTAGAACCTGCTCCACTGTATAATGTTTGAATCTCTACCTGGGCCTGATGAACAATGGCATGGTCCTTGCTTGTCACATCATTAAATGGATCAGGACAAGCAGATTCCAGGGAAATGCAATATGAATGAGTCAGCATGGTTTTGGGAACTACAGGGCTGGGGTCTAGAGTCCACTCCATGTCTCACTCACCAGGGATGACTCAAGGCCTTCTCACAGGTGTACCGCTCGTTCGGATCCTTCTCAAGCAAGTGGCAAATAAAGTCCTTGGCTAAGGGGAGTAATCAAAGACACGACGACTAAGGACCAGATTTCATGACTGATGGAAATTCACTTCCGGGCTGGTGGGTGGCAGTGAATGCATCTTTAGCTGATCTTCCAAAGAGGCAATTTTAAGAGTCTTAGAAGAGGAAAAAAAATCCAAACCACCTAACAACAACCCACCATAAACCACCAAAGAAGGGAAGCTCCAAGCCGCCTCACCCACACAGCACTGCAGAAGCGTCACTAGTCACAAGGCCCCCATGTGCCTGCACATCACATGTGCATGTGTTTGCACTGAAACAGGGGCCAGCGCTGGCACATGGGCACGCATGTGAGTGCTGGATTGTTCCAGCTCTGATTTCCACTTAACAGGTCCAACAATCACGTAATGATCATCTTCTCTCACACATAGACATTGCATGCTCTTTCTTGATATCTAACCCCTTAGTTTTGCTGCTCTTGTCTGGAACTCTCCCCTCACCACCTGGCTCTGCCCTCCTGGCCCATCTTCTAAACTGCCCCCCCATCTCCTTTTCAGGCATACTGTGGTTCTGCCTCCAGAAAAACAAAAGCATAGCTCTTAGATGTAAATAATTTATCGGGTCTTTGAAGCAGACGAAGATTTCTCCACTTTCCTTGGCAGCCTGTTCTGTAAGATCCCCAGGGACTTTGAAGAGCCGGGACTGTCATCCTTTGTTAAGCTCATTTCTCTTGGCAGCCTCTACCTTGAGCCTGTTATCTCTCCTTCATGCCTACTGGCCTTACCTGACTCAGAAATGTCATCCCAGAATGGAGACTCAAACTCATAGTAGCCCTCCTTGATCTTCTCGAAAAGCTTAGACTCCGTTTCTTCATAGAATGGGGGGTATCCACAGAGCCTGCAGCAGGACAGGAAGGAGGCATACTACTGAACAAACCTGTCCTCCCTGAGCCAGCCTCTCTGCTCCCCCAAGCTCCCACTGTATACACAGGTGGGCACTGAAGGTCCCAGAACAGTGGTGTGACCAGGACGCAGATCTGCCTCAAATTCCAGAATGGTACAGGTCCCGTAAAGTGTTTATGCAAGTGCCAAGCCTTGGCACAGTCATCCCTAGAAGGTCCCTGTGTACATTATGCCCTCCAACCCTTGCCACCTCTCCTTATACTTTCCCTGACTTATGAATGCTATATAAAATATGTTTAAGAAAGTTGGTAGACTGTCTACTTGAATGTAAGCTTGATGAAGGATTTATTTAGGCTGTGTTGTTCACTGCGGGATTCTTTAGAACCTAGCACAGGGATAGATGCAGAGTAGATAGGCAGTGAATATTGGTTGGGTAAATAAATGAGAGTACTTATTCAACATAAATGGAGGAGATAATTGAAACCAGGTTATTTTCCTAAGAGCAAAGTTTGCTATAGGTGAGGAGGGATGGTGGGGAAGAGGTGATGGGCAGGTTAGGAAAGGGAGAGCTTGGGAATGTGTGGAGAGGAGCGAAAAGGAAAGGCCCTGACCAGCTTTATCCAGGCCACAGTTTTGCCTTGGGAAAGCTGAGATGTAGGAACAGAGGGTCCACCTGGCTTCCAAGCCTGGCTTGGCCTCTCTCTTTTTCACTGTTCATTCCACTGAGTGGGATGCAACACATTTATAGGCAGTAAAAGGGGCAGGGGTGCAAGAGGAGGGAGTGCCAGGTGGCTGTGCAGTGGATTCACGCTGAGCTCTGTTTTAAAACTTGGTGGAGGTGAAGAGAGAGGAAGCTTTTAAGCTGTGTGTACATGTATGTGTGTGTGTGTGTGTGTGTGTGTACCCGTGTGCCCCTGTGCCTGTGTCTGTTTGTGCACATGCACGTGCTTGGAGGAGGAGCTGAGACAGGGGAGGGAACGAGAAGGGGTAAGCAGGCTCCGAGACTTCTCATCAGCTGAACCCAGGCCAGCGTCTACTCACAATATGTAGGTGATGACGCCGATGGACCAGCAATCCACAGCCTTGCTGTAGGGTTTCTGGGCCAGCACTTCTGGAGCTGCAGCAGACCAAGGGCAGAGTCAGGGCTGGTGGCAAGAGGAGAGGGCTTTGGGGTGGGAGCTGAAGGCCAGGCTTAGAGAAGAGGTCTGGGGAAGACTGTGGGATGGTGGGGTTTCTAGGAGACTGAAAACTCCCTAAGGGTAGGGGCTGTGTCTCTTCTGGGAAGACTAAATCTTCCTGAAAAGAGAGACTGTGACTTCTGCATTAGTTTGTGAGTTTCCCCATGACAGGGTCGATGACTCACCTGTTGGACTGGGGATCTCCAGGGCTATGTCTCCCTGATTACACTGAGTATTCTCTGAAGGCAGGGCCTGTCTCCCCACTCAGATAGGGGATTCCCAGGGCAAGTGTGATCTCTCTCCCTTCAGACTGGGAGATCTTCAGTGTAGGACTGTCTCTCCTCCACTAGACTGGGAGCCTCTGGGAGGCAGAGACTGAGTCACCCCCATTAGATTAGGAGCTCCCAGAGCAAAGGCAGTATGTCTCCCATCAGACTGTGGGTACCTTCTGAGGGGAGGCATTTAGTCTGTCCCATCAGATAGAGAGCTTTCAGAGGGCATGAGCCATGACTTCCTCTGATTAGGAGCCCTGTGGGGTGTAGAGAGCTGCCTTCTGTATTTCTTGCAGCTACCAGAGCTTTGTACCTGGTGGGACTCAATACCTACTGAGGAGTGAATGACCTGCCTTTCTGGGAGGGTAGATTCCCTCTCTTGAGTCAGAGCTCTGCTTCCCATTACCCAACTGCAAACAGGTGACGACTGGTGAAGTGGGAAGGGACAGGAGCGGATGCTCTGAGTTTCAACTTTGTCTCCTGTAGATCCCAGGAATACTCTTCCAGGTGCCCTGCCTGCTCTCACTCTTTTTGGGGGCCCTGGAAACCTACAGGGATGTTCAAGCAGGAAGCTCCACCTTTGCCAATTTCCCAGAGTGCTTCCTTGGGTGGACATTTAGGAGCCCATTTCTGGGTTCCTCAGGCCCAAATTCAATATCCTGTGCTTCCAGGCTCCCAAGAACTGGGGGCTAATGTCTCCTTCAGAGTGGGAGAAAGGAGTAGGGTTGGTGCTCAACCCCTCAGCTCTCTGCTGATCTCTGGGTTTGTGATCTTGTCTGCCCCTGGTCCAGCTGGAAAGACAAAGGCTGGAAGTCTATCCGCAGAAATGAGAGCCAAAGCATAGGCAGGGACTCTGGAGGGCTCAGGGGTAGGCGGTCTTTAAAAATGTAGAATTTGGGAGCAGTAGAGATAGATCCTGAGACGGATGAATTGGCTGGCCCTAAACTTTATAAGTGGATGTCCTACCAGGATAGCCCCTGAAGTTGAACCCTATGTTCTCAGAATCACCCCTTTCTATGAATGATAGGCATGTGGTTGAATGTAGCCAACTGGTCAACCTTCCTCCTGCTCCCAGACTTACCCACGTAGCCTGGGGTCCCACAGGCAGTGGACATGATGCCATTCTGTTCCATCTTGGACAGACCAAAGTCAGTGATCATGATCTTAGAGTTCTCTTCAGGGGTAAGGTAAAGCAGGTTTTCGGGCTGTAGGAGAAAAAATATGTAGTGTAGGATATAACCACCTGAAGCAAGTATTTTCCTTCCCCTTGATACAAAATTTCACAGGAAGATGAGCCCTGGGCTCCTGACTTCAAGGCCAGCTCATCCTCCCCCATTCTTCCCTTCTTCCTCCTACCTGCACCCTCACACCTGCACCCCAGTAGTCTGCACCTTGCTTATGGCTCTGACTTTGCTCGGTCTTGTAAACATTAATATACTCACCCTTTCCTTCCCTCACTTCCAACTACCCTGTTTGTGTTTTGAGAGAACCAATCTTTGGTTAATGGTGTCTGATCTCTCCAGAGTCCAGTGCAAGGCCTAGTACAATGTAGGCCCTCAGTAAATATTTTGTTGCATTGGGTTTTGACTGTGGCTGGATGTAAGAAATGTGTGTATTATTTTGGTATTGAAATAGGGTAAGGCATAGTGAAAGTTTCAGGAAAAATTGAGGTGCAAATTAGTAACCATTGTTCACTCATCCAAGGTCTGTTTAAGGAATCTAAGGGCAGAAGGGGCCTTGGGAGTCACTAGTCCAACCCTCTTACTTTATGGAGCTTAGATGTCCCATGACCCATGCAGCTTCCTTAAGGGTCATTATCTGTTTCCCACCCAGGACTCCCGCCTTGACACCTTTAAGTCTCTGTGGACGATGCCATTCTCATGTAGGTATTTCACTGCCGACAAGACCTGCTGGATCACCAGACTGGCATCCTTCTCTGTGTAGACACCCCGCTCCAGGATCCGGTCAAAGAGCTCCCCACCAGAAACACTGTGGGCATAGGATCAAGACAGGAATTCAGTTCTCATTTCACTCAAAGTAATGAGAAGGTGTTTGCTTTGAAGCCTTGGGGGACACAGCTGCAGTGGAACAGGCAGGCCCCCATGAACTGTGATTGAAGGGCTGCCAGCAGACTACTCCAGTCTCAGAACACCCACTCTGGGTACCTGGAGTGATATCACTAGGCAGTCATCTCTTTGGGCCAAGCATTGACCTCTCTCTCTGAAAATTTCCTTTAAAATGTAAATGCTTCTGGTTGGGGCTGCACAAGAAGCCAATAATCCCTTAGTGTGGACACACTTCTTAGCCACCTTCCTTCCTGGCCTATGACACAGGAAGCCATGATGAAAGAGAGAGGTAACACAGAAATTAAGCAAAGTAGGAAAGAGAAGGCATGCAAGTGAGACTAACCGTACTTATATCAAGATTTCTCTTCTCATTTTGGGAAATTGGGCTTCATAAAGCTGGAATTACAGGTAGGGCTTTAGGGGTGCTTTGAGACTCAAATGGTAGAGTATCTTAGGACCCAGGGGAGCTTAAAGATCAAGTCTGACTTCTATCTCATGAATACCATCTACTCTATTTTTGCCTAGAAGTTTTCTAGTGAGTACTAGAACACATAAGTGTCAGAGAACACTCTTCCTCCTAAGACAGAGTGTTTTTTGGAATATTCCTAATGTTTCTGCACATTATGTTGAAACCTGATGCCCTGTCATTTCTACCAGTGCTACCAATTCCACCCATCGGGACTGCACAGAACAAGAATAACAGCCTTTCCTGTGCACCTTTCAAGTATACAAAGATAGTGAAATGCTCTCCGGAGGGCTTGCCTTCTCTGAGATAAGCATTCCCAGACTATTTCAACCGTGAGCCAGGGGTTCCAGTCCTCTCACCCTCCTAGTCCCCCTTACCACTGTCCCATGACATTAGATGTGGCCATCCATGCCCAACTAGTGATGAGGGAAAAGAATTTCTCCGATCAAAATTTACCTCATCCTGCTCTTTGGCTTTTGGTCTTTAGGCTTTGGGCGCTCCTATAGTAGCTGAAGGCCTGTAGGAAATACACTCTTTGTACAGAGCTATGAATTCTTAACCCTGAGGGGCCTGAGTCCTGGAGCTATGCTCTGAGGAGGCTTAGTGTCTCCTCAGGGACATCCAACTCTTCCCATCTCCTTGCCTCCCTGCCTTCTGAATTACTGTGTGCTAATCCTGTTGGCTTGGCCTCATTGTAGTGCCTGATGGTCCCTGATCACTTGTTAGTGCCACTAGGGGCCCTTTCCACCTCACTCCCTTGACTGCCTGCTACCTCTCTTTAGAGGTCCTCAGATAAGCCCCCAGTTAATCAGGTGCTTAGGCCTGAGTTATCTCGTTAAAGTTTCTTAGTAATCAGCCCATCAGCCAAAAACCACGTTGTGTCCAGCCACGCTGAGATTGCAGAGTGGTGTGTGAGTGCGTGTATGTCTGTGCATGTGCAAGTGTGTGTATTTGTGTGTGTGTGTGTACTTTATAAACAGAAGTGTCTTTGAGCCCAATGCTGAGCCCTTATGAACACTGACCAACCTCTACAGCAGTTGCTGTCAGGCAGAGCTGTTGTTTGGATGCAGCAATGACGCAGAGACCTTGCTAATGAAGCACCACTTCTGTCCTACAGATGGACACATACAATCACAGCCTGTCTTTAACTTTGGGTGACTCTGTTTTGGGAAAATCTTTCTTTATATTGAAATATATCTACCTGTGGCTTCTGCTCCTACAGTAATTTTATGCTGGAGTGATGTTAAAACATTTACTATCCAATTTGATTAACATGTATTGGTCCAAAAGGACTGAAGCCACAGTGCCAGAAAAGGGTTCTGGTGACTCCTTGTTAGTCTGGCATTACCCCTTCGGTCGTTTGGTTGCAAGGGGCGAGGAGGGGTGGGGCAGCAGAAGGACATGGATGGGTTGGGGTCGCAGCTATTTGCTGACTGGTAGGAAATATTCTAACCACTGATAGGGTTGTCCTGGTGCAAAGGAGCTTAATAATCAGCCCAGGTTTACCCTGTGGCCCACATAGAACCTGCCCATGACCAGAGGCACACTCAGTCTAAAAGGACCCTTGGCATTTCTGAGCCTCCTGAATGAAGTCTTCATTTTTGTCTTTGAATTGCTGTCCATCCCTCACCAGCGACCAACCTCCTGTAGGCCTCCCAGGCCCCACCAGGCCTCTGTGAAGGAAGCAAGTCACCTTTTACTTACAGCTGCATGACCAGGTAGTAGTGGGTGGTGCTCTCATAGATGTCCTCCAGGGTCACAATGTTTTCATGCTTGATCCTGGGAAAAATAAAGTGCATGATGAAAGGTATGTGGTTCAGGTTGTACAGACAAATAATGCAGACCTAGCCCAAAAGTTTCTGTTGGAGGCTTTTGATGGCAATGTTTAGGAAGACTAGGTCTCTGTGAAGCCTTCATAATAAGTAGACTGTCACAAATTAATCCCAGAGAAAAGATTCCTGTGGAGGTGCTCGGTCCGTGTTTACTGAATGAATAATTGATCATCCTTCCTTCAGGAAACAAACACTTCCTTGTTATGCCAGGAATCTCTTTAAACTTTACTAAAAGAGACAGTTAGAAGAATGGAGGAAGGCTAAGGGAGTACCCAACACTAGGTTATTCTACAAAGTAGGTATTCAGATGTTAGAAATATTGCACTTAAAAAGTACAGGTTGAGTATCCCATATCTAAAATGTTTGAGACTAGAAGAGTTTTTGGAATATTTGCATATACATAATGATATACCTTAGAGATGGGACCCAAGTCTAAACATGAAGTTCATTTATGTCTCATGTGTACCTTATACACATAGCTGGTAGGTAATTTTACATAATATTTAAAAAATAATTTTGTGCATGAAATAAAGCTTTGAATACATTTTGACTGTGACCTGTCACATGAGGTCAGCTGTGGAATTTTCTATTTGTGGCATCCTGTCAATGCTAAAAATGTTTCTGATTTTGGAGCATTTTGGATTTTAGATTAGGAATGCTCAACCTGTATACAATGGGAGGGATTCAGGTGAGCTGAGCCTCCTCATGGATAACCACGGAGGAAGTGTTGAAAAATTAGTGTTCCAAGATATTGCGAGAAGCAAGGTAGATGCTTATTTTTAGGGTTAGTTCTGTGGGATGACTTAGATGGTGATTCTCAACCAGGGACTATTTTGCCTCTCAGGGAACATTTGGCAATATCTTGAGACATGTTTGATTGTCACGACTAGGGCAGGGGAAGGTGCTGCTGGCATCTAGTGGGTAGAGGCGGAAATGCTGCTAAACATCCAACACTGCACAGTACAGCCCCCAGCACCACAAATAATTATCTGTTTCAAAATGTCGACAGCATCATGGTGGAGAAGTCCAGCCCTACATTACCCTTGTTTGGGGTTACTCAGAGACTGAGTCAAGCAGAATAATCATATTAGCAGAGGGGCTCGGCTTGCCAGGCAGCAATGCTGTGCCTGCCTGTAAAGGAGGAAATTCTCTAGGAAGTTTACTCCTGGCTGTGCAGCACAGGGGTTAAGGACTTAGGCTCAGAGTCAGTCAGGCCTGGGTTCAGATCTAGCTCAGGCAATTAGATAACTTCAGCTGGCTTATTCCAGTTTTCAAATCTTTACTTTCCTTGTCTGAAAAGTATGTGTCTCTTATAGAATTGTATCAGGATAAAAGGAGATAATGCATAATGCTTAATACAGTGTCTGGGTAATAGTAAACACATAATCAATAGTAGCTATCTTCTTTACGATATTTTAGAAAATATAGACCTGTGTCAGTTGTCTCTTGATGAATTCAACTATACTCAGAAGCTGGCAATGCTAACATTAATTTATCAATTATTCACTCAATGAACAAACATTTATTGAGCACAAATACTGTTGATACAAGGCAATAATAAGAAAAATGACATGGTCCTTGCTCTCAATTAGTTGAGAGTCTTTCTTTGCCCTAATATCCCTGGATCCTAGACCTGTGTCTCCAGCATGTTATGAAATGCCTTCATGTTGAGATAGGTGGATACTCATATTCAGTATGTTCCAACCAATTTCTTTCTATTTCATCCAAGCCTACATATCCTCTTTGTTCTCCACCCCTAGCAATTATATTGTTGTCCACTTGATTGCTCAATCTCAGGGTCTCTTTTTATGCTTTTGTCCTGTATACTTTCACTAGTCAACCCCAAACCCAATCACTTCTCTCTTTGAAACATCTCTAGTATCTAGTCCTTTTAGGCACATATGATTCTGCCACTACCTTTGCTTGTATTCTCAACCCATGCCTAAATTATTGTGAAAGTCTTATAATTAGCCTCCTGTCCTCTAGGCTGGCACCCTCCAATCCATCCTCCACTGTGCCTGAGAGGGATAGCTCCAACATGTTAATCAGACAATGTGACTCCTCACTTAAAATCCTTTGATGACTTCTTTTTGCCCACAGAATAAAGCCAACATTCCTTATCATGGCATCTAAGATCCTTTGTAATCAGGTCTCATTTCATGATTTTAGTTTCATCACTTGTCTTTTAATACTATATACTCTAAATTCAGGGATTTCCAATACTCACTCTTCCCTAAAAGCCCTTGCACTTTCATGGTTCTACATTAAAGTTTATGCTAGTCTTGGCCTGAATTCCCTTTCTGCATTGCCTTTCTTGCCCCCACAAAGTTTGACTCATCTATCAAGGTCCATCTTCTTTGAAAGTGGTCCAATAACTCATACTCATAAAAACATATGCATAGGCAAAATGAATCTTTATCTCCTCCAAACTCTGCCTTCTGCTAGTGTGACTCACATCCGATTTTGTTGGATTTTCTTATAGGCACCTCTGTATCCAGCATAGGCTCCTGAGGGTAAGGAATTTTGTCTGCCTCATCCTTGTGGTTCTGATCCTGTGTTCATGTGCCTAATACACTTTTGGTACACCATAAGGGTTTCACAAGGGTCTGTGGTAAGAGTCTTGCTGTAAACATATGATGATTTGTAGTGTTGCCTTCATCAAGATGGTTGGGGTGCTGAACCTCCATTTGCTTTGTTATAAATTGAAGCTAATTTCCAAATCTTATGCTGCCTCCTTAATTATTAATTGTTCCTGATGTTGGCCCTCAATTGATTTTTGTTCCTTTGAGCTAATTACTCTCCAGCCTGTGTGCACAAACCAGTTCTGCCACCAGTGGATTTGCTCATCAATTTGTTGCCAAAAAAAAAAAAATCAGCTAGGACAGCTGTCCGACTAAACTTAGCTAATTGACTGAACTGACCCATCAACTCAATCAAAGTGAGCAATGCCTTTGGGTGCAGAAATCCAGTCCTAGTCCTTTTTGAAGGTAATTTGTGAAGAAAATGTTGTGATCCCATAGTGATCCAGTCAACACTAAGACCCACTCACTTTTTCAACACAGCAATCTCATTCTCCAGGCTGCTGTCCCGGAAGGCAGGTGACTTCTTGATGCACTTCAGAGCAAAGAGCTTCCCAGTCAGTCTTTGCTTCACCAGGAAAACTTCTGAGAAAGCTCCTCTGAGGAGAAGACACCAAAAGATAAAACTTAGTAGGGGGCAGACATCTTACACTTCCAGATGTAAGACCTCAGAAAGGACGTAACAGAGTCTATATAGTCCTCTGACCACAAAGGCATATACTGAATTTAAATCTGGAAGAAACATCAGGAAAGCACAAAATTTAAAAAAGGGAAGGGGGGAACCTGTATTCTTCCAAAATGCCAATGTCATAAAAAAGCTAGGGAGAGATAACACCCAAGTGAAATATCAGACCCTAGACTGGAACCTGTACTGGAGGGGAAAAATGCTATAAAACACATAATAGGGTCAATTGATAAAACTGGAGTAGGGAAGACAGACTAGGTACACTTAATGTGTCCATGTTCAATTGACTGAAGTTGAGAACTGTCCTATGGTCACGTAAGGGAATACCCCATCCCTAGAAATATACACAAATGTCCTTGATAGGTAAAGGTTCATGATGTCTGTCCACAACTAACGCTTGGGAGATTAGGAAAGAATCATCTTTCTACATCTATCTCTACAGATCTACAGAGAACATAGCAATGAGAAGGCAGATGGGAGAAATTGTGAACAAGAGGTGAATCTGGGCAGGGGGCATTTGGAAATTCTTTCTACCATTCTTATTCTTATTTTATTTTATTATTTTTTTAGAGATGGGGCTTCACTATGTTGCTGATCTGGTTAGGCTTTGTGTCCCCACTCAAATCTCATCTTGAATTATAATCCCCATAATCCTCATAATCCCCATGTGTCAAGGGAGAGACCAGGTAGAGGTGATTGGCTCATGGGAGCAGTTTCCCTCATGATGTTCTCAGGATAGTGAGTGAGTTCTCACGGGATCTGATGGTTTTATAAGGGGCTCTTCCCCCTTTGCTTGGCACTTCTTCCTGCCGCCTTGTGAAGAAGGTGCCTTACTTCCCCTTCACCTTCTGCCATGATTGTCAGTTTCCTGGGGCCACCTCAGCCATGCTGAACTGTGAGTTAATTAAACCTCTTTCCTTTATAAATTGCCCAGTCTCAAGCTGTTCTTCATAGCAGTATAAAAATAGACTAACCCAGTTGCCCAAACTGGTCTTGAACTCCTGGGATCAAGCAGCTCTTCTCCTTTGGCTTTCCAAAGCGTTGGGATTACAGGTATGAGCCACCAAGCCTGGCGTTATTCTTATTTTTGAAACGTTTTTCTAAGTTTGAAATTATTTCCAACTAAAAAGTTAAACAATCAAACTTAGAGGCAAAGTGAAAGGGTAGATGAGGGAAGGACTGATAATTACTCTTCATTGTCATGTGGGCGCTGCTGAGTTATGTTGATGGCAGTTGTATCTGACATGCTAATGTGCTTTCTAATTTGAAGACCATATTGGAAGAAAAAGATGCCACCACAGATTCAGGGGCTAGGCAGGTGTTATTTCCTGGTTCTATAGTTTGGGAATGACCCCTAGAGACAGAGACTCCACTGCAGCTGTGGAGAGATTTCTTCACTTGGCATGCCCACTAAAAAGAAGCCACTACAGAGTCAATTCATGCCACTTTCAATGTGACTCAGGATGGCACACTGGAGTGGCAGCTGGAGGTAGCAGATGGGACAGAGTGCAGATACAGTGAGAACAAAAAGACTCGTCTCTCAATTTTAGGTGGTGGTGATCACTCTGTACCAGTTATCAGAGGCCAGGGTGCTGAGCAACCTCTCATTCATTCAGTAGGATCTGCAAAGACAAAAGAGAGAACCTAGCAGTCTCTGAGGCAGGCTCTGAAGACAGAGCAGGTGGAACCAATGGGAATACAGGGCAGGATTCCAAATTACAGGCCTCTTGGTTTGAAGGGGGTCCTCTGGAGATCAGGCTATCAGACCAGCAGTTAAGCTAGGTACAGATGCTGAAGCCTGATTGTTCACGTTAGAATCTCAGCTTTTGGGATAAAAAGTCACTTAACTCCCATATTCCCAGTTTCCTCATCTGAAATGTGGGAGTATCAATAGTATCTGATTCACAAGGTTGTTTAGAAGATTAAATGACTTGATATATGTAAAAAGCTTAAAAGTGTTTCTGACATCTATTAAGACCATAAGTGTTAGATACTATTATTATCATCACTATTATTTGAATACCATTATGAAGAACACCCAGTAGTACAAGAGGAGAGAGAATCTAAGTAAGGAAACAGCTGAGCCATCCTTGACCCTGCCATCTGGATATGCTAGAATGAAAGCCCAATAGGAGTCAAGCTTCTATAAGGACTTTAAAAATCTGCATTAGAAATTACTTGGTGTTTCCTGTGTCTGAGTTTCCTGTTTTCCCAGCTGCACTTGGAACTGAGTTAATCAAAGCCGCCCGAGCTTGCTCTATTCATCCATTCACTTACTCATCCCTTCAACCAAGATTTATTGAACACCTACTGAGTATTAGACACTGGAAATTAAAAGGTGAGTGTTTCCATTCTTAAGAAACCTGTAGAATAGTGAGGAACAGGGACAAGTAAGCAATTAGCATTTGATTTGAAAAATGCTATCAGGCATTCAATGAATGTTTATTGAACTGATGGAACCTCTCTGTGTCAGGCACTAAGATTAGTATTGGTCTAGCTTGGAATTCAATGTGAAAGACAGATACATACACAACACATAAGAATGACATATTAAGAGACCACAGAAAATGGACACTTAAGACAGGGCCCCTGCTATTATTGGGCAGGTTGTGCAGTGCAACAACTTCAGCAGGTGCCATTCACCTTGAAGCCATCATACATGTTCATATGATAATTATTATATTTCCTGCCCGAGCAGACAACAGGCTAGATAAAAGAGCACCTTTTTCATAATTTGTACACTTGTCCACTCTCCACCATGCCCCACTGTGGTAACTCTGTGGGGTCTGCAGCCTGGGAATACTGGTCTTCATCCTGAGCACCACTGAGATGTCTTCTCTTTCGCTCAGCTCTAACTTCTGCAACAGCTGTGACATGCCTCCTGTCTTGTCCTCCTGCTCCCTTCAAATCACTGCTGAGCTAGATACATTAGAACACCAGAAGCACTTAAAATATAGATTCCTGGCTGCTGCATCCTATCTCCCAAAATTCCAGTTTAGTGGGTCTGAGACCAGGGATCTATTTTTCAAAAATCACCCAGGCTAAAAGGAATTGTTGTTCACTTTCTTGAGTGTGACAATGATATTGTAGATATATGTGAAAATGCCTTTATTTTAGGAGATGTAAACAGAAGATTCAGAGGTGACATGTCATCATGTTTGCAACTTATTTACAAATAGTTCAGTGCTCAGTACGTGTGTGTGTGTGTGTGTGTGTGTGTGTGTGTGTGTGTGTGGTGTGTGTGTGATGTAAAATACATACTCTACAGTGAAATGTTAACAACGTTGAATTTAGATGGTGGGTATACTGACGTTCATTTTATCATTATTTCACCTTTTCCTTATGTTTCAACATTTTCACAGTTAAAAGTTGGAGGCATAAACTCTCCAGATGACTCCGATGTTCTCCCAGGTTTAGGTGCTGTGTGGTAGACTTCACTGAGCTCTAAGAGGGAAGGTGTGTCTGTCTTTTGAGTCCTACAGCACAAGTCTAGCAGATGGTAAATTCTTGTCAACCTGGGCTCCCTTCTCTCCTCTCCTCTGGATTTTTGGGACACTTAGCAAATCATTTCTGACTTACTCATGAGGCTTGTCTCTTTCTCCTGCCAAAACCCCCTCTCTGGTCACTCCCATCTTGGTAAAGGCCTTTGATGGAAGGCCAATGCTCTCATGACCAGCACCCCGCTGGGATCCTCCTGCACTTGCACAGTCTGACAACCTGCCTGTGCCAGGAGGGCCCAGAAGTGTCTTCTCTGTCTACGGCACGAGTGTGGGCAGCCGTCATTGCCCGAGGTCACTGCCTTCTAGTCAGTGCAAAGTGAAGTGACATTGGCGACAGAGAAAGCTTACCCGGATGGACAGCCCGCTGGCTGCTCTTCACTGCCCAGGCCCAATTAGCCTAGACTAATTAGCTGACCAGCTGGGGTTCTGAGGGGTTTGGGGGCCAGTGGCCTGGAGCTGCTGCCAGCCTGCGTCAGAGTCTGCAGCCTCCCAGGGGAGAGGCAGGACTAAGTGGGGAGTCAGTTCCAGACAAACTGTCTCTGATCTGCCAGCCATGTAATCATCTTCAAGGTGCAGGTTCAGACACCCTGCAGGCTGGCAGAGGTATGGACTAGAGCACAGCTGAAACACTTGGATATGGAGGAGGGAGGATGGTGGTGCAGGGGGCTGATTCAGGTGTGTGTGACCCACGAGCTCCCTGGGCCTCAAAAGTCCCTTCTGTTCCAGTTAGAGCAGAAGAAGAGGTTGTTCACTGCTGGAGAAATGAAGATGCTGGGGGAGGAGACTGGGAAAGTTCTAGTGTCACTGGACCTCCAGAAGTGCTCTCCAACTCCCCTCTCCTGACAGAGGCAAGAACCCACAAACCGGCACAGATCTGGAAGGAGGAGAGGGTCATTGCAGGTGGGTCAGAAGGAGGCAAACCCTGGGGGAAAGGGACTGGTATTCCCTGAGAGCTCCAATTTTGTTTTGTTTTGTTTTGAGACAGTCTCGCTCTGTCACCAGGCTGGAATACAGTAGCGCAATCTCGGTTCACTGCAACCTCCGCCTCCTGGGTTCAAGCAATTCTCCTGCCTCAGCCTCCCGTGTAGCTTGGACTACATCCAATGTATTAAATCATCTTTGGTATTACCCAAAGTACCTGCCACCCACTCCACCCACCATCCTCCAGGCCACAAAACTCTCCCTAAGTCCCTTAAATAAATCGAAATGAAGTCACAGCAGCCTCAGTCCAGTTCATCAATTGCTGCCAGCAGAGAACAACTCTTCTAACCTCCCACTGCAGGCAGCCCAGCCCACCCGACCTCACAGCCCCAGGACTTACGATCCCAGCACTTCCATAAAAATGAAGGTTTTCCGGATGTTGGTGGTCTGTTTCTTCCAGGAACTGCAGTCATCTTCTTCCTTTCGACCCATTGCCTCCAGAGTTGAAGCTTCTGAGGATGCTTTATTGCAGGGAGTGGGAGAAGGAGGAGAAAAAAGGTCTGGTCAGCTGCTTTCTCAAACAAGATTAAAAACAGGCTGCAATACTGACATCTTTCTGTAATTATCAGAAGGAAGGATTAGGAGCAAACCTGGATAACTGGAAAAAGTGAAACTATCTCCACACTTGCTTTCAAAAATTACAAGGACAAATTCATGGAATGCCTACTACATGTGCACTATGCTTGCTGCATGCTCACATCAGGGCAATAGTAAGTACGTGTGTAGATAACCTGGGAATATCCACCTTGAGGGGATCTGAGCTCAGCTCAGGCATGTCCTGTGTTTTCCAAATGATAGTCACAATGTTTACTCAGACTACAGAGTCAGCCAGGCTTCCTCTCTAATGTCACAACTCTGCCACCTCCCTCAATTTTTCTCACTAGTACCTCTCTCCCACCTGTTATGGGTTAAATGAATGAGTATTGTGCTGTTTTTGTAACTCCTACAACATTTAGCACAGTGCTGGGCAAATAGTTATTCACGAAAATCTAAATTGAATCATTTCCTAAATTTATATCAGAGTTCTGGAGTTACCATATTTATTCAACAGTTAACCAATATGTATTTAGCACCTACCGTGTGCAAGGTGCCGATGGGTACTGATAACAACACAGATGCTGGCCCTGCCTTCATGGGGCTGCCAGCCTGAAGGAGACGGGCAATGGGCAAGTAAAGTCATACGTGTACAGTTACAAAGTGTGGGGAAAATTATGAAAGACAAAAACCTGGGTTTGTCATAGAGATAAACAGGGAGGGTCTTCTTTAGATAAAGTCCAGGGAAGGCCTCTTGAGCAGGTCATATTTAAGCTGAGACCCAAAGTTTGGGAAGGAGCCAACCAAGCAAAGAGCATGTGAAGGAGCTTCTGTGCAAAGGAAATAAAACACCAAAGCTGGAAGGGAGGAAATAGCATAGTGTGCTCCAGAGCCTGAAGGGGCAGTGTGGCTGGTGCAGAGTGAGCTCCGTATGGTGGGGGGTGGTGAGTGGGTAGGAAGAGGCAGGCAGGGGCGGACAATAAAGGGCTTTGTAGACTCTGTTTAAGACATTGGATTTTCTTCTAGGTGAGATGGGAAGACATGAAGGATTTTTAGCAGGGGAGTTATTACACCATTGATGTTTTAAAGAGTTCACTCTGGCTGATCTGTGAAGGGAGAGAGATGTGAAGAGAGAGATGATGGTGGCTCGGGCCAGATGGGAGTGAAGGAGAGAATGATGAACCTGGGATGTATTCTGGGAGTCCAGTTATCTACAGTATTAGGCGATGTGTCATATGGTGGGGCAGACGGAGTCTGAGAGGACTCCCATGTTTCTGGCAGGAGCATCTGGGGTTGGTTGGGGGGTGCCCTGACTGAGCTCATGAATACTAGAGAGAAACATGTTTTTGGGGTGGGGTTAAATGGTTGGAGGGAATCTCTGTTCCTTTGGATATTCCACTCTGTCTACCCCCTCCAACAGCTAATGGCAGGGTACCAGGTGTCCAGGAGTGATGAGTGAGACACCATTTCTGCCAGCACCCTCTCCCTCATACTCCTTGAACCTGATGGAGAAATAGGAAAATATGCCTAATAGCTGCCCCTCTTGGGCAATAACCTTCCTTCCCCACTCGAGAAAAACTACTTGTAGACTCTATGGGGTCTTGTATTAATAATAGCCTTTGAACAAAAAGAAAGTTTGTTCCTCTACAATTCAGCATTAAGTGAAGAGCATAGTTTTGGAGGCCAACCTGAGTTCAAATCCTACCTTTGCTAGTTACCAGTTAAATGGCCTTGCCTAAGGCAAGTTACTAACCTCTTTGAATCTATTTCCTTATCTGTAAAGTGGGGACAAAACCCTTTAAGATATGGTAAAGGTTAAATGAAATGGTGCACATACAGACATTGATACACATGATAAACAGTTGTTTCTTTTTTATTTTTATTTTTTTTTCTGTTCTGCTACAATCTTAAACAGTTGTAACAGAGATAATATTCTGGAGACATTTGTTGATGTATTTCATTCCTGATAATCCACATCTGGAGGACTCGTGGTAAAATAGGTTTCATGGAATAGAGGGAACCTCTTCTGCCATTAAAACACAACTATGAGACTTAGACCCCTGGGAATAAGAAGAATATGATACAAGCGAGGCTCTTGGCAGAGGGGAAGAGGAGGTGGAAAGATGGATACTTTTGGTCCAAGTAGATCCTGGAAAGGGGATGGGGAGACAGATGGTGTAGTTTTCCAAAGCACAGATCTTTGCTTTCGCTCTCTTGGAGTAGAGCATCTGGTCAGGAATTGGGAGACAGGTGACATGGATGGGGTGGCTTACCAGGACCCTGCTGGTGGGAGGCTTTAAGCCTAGGAGGAGCGCTGCCTGCAACCACATCTAACAGGGCAGTGAGGAATCATGGGGAGGCCTCGAGGGAGGAGGTGAGTTGAGATAGTGCCTCATGCTGGGCAGAGACTCCAAAACCTCCCCAGGGCCGGCTCATGTCAGCTCATGAGAGTCAGCTGTGCACCTCTCTGGTGTTAATGTTGGCAGCTAGAAAGTGACCACAGTAGGAGTACTGGAGTTTTTTTTTTTTTTTTTTTTGAGACAGAGTCTTGCTCTATTACCCAGGCTAGAGTGCAGTGGTGTGATCATTCCTTACTGCAGCCTCAACCTCCTGGGCTTGAAGTAATCCCACCTCAGCCACCCTAGTAGTTGGGTCTACAGGCATGCATCAACACGCCTGCCAAATATTAATTTTTTTTCCAAAGACAGGGTCTTACTCTGTTGCCCAGGCTGGTCTCGAACTCCTGGGCTCAAGTGACCCTCCCATCTTCGCCCCCCAATGTGCTGGGATTACAGGTATAAGCCATCAATCCCAGCCTAATAGGAATATTTACACCATGGACAGTGGCAACAGCTACAATCAGGGCTTCTGCCTGACTCCACCTCCCCCTTGCCCCAAGACCTGTCATTAAACATTTACCAGCTCATTGTGGCTCATGGCCCTATGAGGGGATGTAGAGCAGGTCACGGCCAGCTGGCTGGGGTTGGTGAGAAGAGACGGTGATGACCAGGGCTTTTCAGGTAAGCAAACAGCTGGGATCAGGGCCTTTAGTAGAGTATGTCAGTATGATCCCTGTGAACCAGTGGGACCAGTCATACTTCAGAGGTCACTAGTTAGCTTCTGATGAGATCCAGAGGACTGTGGAATCCAGGGTCCCTGATAAGTCTAAGAAGTCTGAGGCCCCCTTCTCCCATATGACAACAAGGTTTAGTAAATACCTTACAACATAAAATGCCACTTTGAAGTAGAGCAGGAAGAGGAAAGGCCATCTCAAGGCTATGTTTTCCTGAAAGGCATAAGGTCAGCTAAACGAGACTCTTGAAACCCAAAGGGAGATTTATACGCTACAATGGACAAATTCAAACTTAAAGTTCCCCATTCCCCTTTTTGCTGCCTGATGGGATGGGAGTTCATGAGAAAGATTTATAAGAAATAGGAAGCTGCATTTTTTTGGTGTACATTTTAATAATGTGTCAACTTGCAACCTGGCTATATAATAATTGGTGGCTATTTATTATTAAAAAATGCATGTGAGAAACTCCTTCATGATTGACCTAGTTGAATATACATCTGGTAGCTTGTGTTTGGGTCTTCTGGCCCATTTGCTGATCTGCTCCTCTTGGCAGGGTGGCAGCCCAGAGGGACCACAGCAGTTCAGGATGCAGGCACTGGCCAGAGGAGGTCTCACTGGCAGTGGTGGGCTGACACTTGACTTCGAGGGCACGGTACACAAGGTGGAGACAAATGGACCCTGACTGGTGGAGATCTCTCTGAGGAAGATAGAATATAAGAGTCGGGGGATATCTTTAGCCAGATGCCCTTCTGTAGATCCTGAGTCCCAAATCTAGCAGCTTCCACTTATCAGGGTGCTTGGCATCTAGAATGCATGAACTTTCACTCGCTTTACAGGCTGCAAAAAGAAAAATGGGGTACTTTAAATTTGAGATTGTCCATTATTGCATGTTAATCTTATCAGGTTTAAAGAGCCTCATTTAGCTGACCCAGTCTCCAGGGGACATCAAAAATACTTCTTGCTGTGCGGATACACTGCTGCTGGTAAGTCTTGAATGTAGGGGATGAGGGCAAAGGTTTGAACATTTAACAAAGCAAAATCAGCCGCCTATGTGCCTCCCCCATCCTTGCTCTCTCCCCTCTCCACAGAACAACAGGGCTGTGGATGCTGCTTTTCCAGCCAATGAAGAGCCGCCTTCCAGCTCTGGGACCAAGAGCCAGGCGTCCATCACTCCCTCTTCTGGAGCTTCCATGGAATGACGGCCTGTTCTCCAGGAGGCTGCACCACCTCATTAGCAGATCTGTACTCACTGTTCCTTCTTTCCCTTCTCTCTTAAATAGCTTTAAAAACATAGTATTCTTAGCCGAAGCTAGGCTATGAGAAAACATCTTTCCCGCCCACTCCTCCTCCCATACACTGAATCCTAACCATTTAGTTCCATCTTCAGTGCAATGTGGAAAACTCAAAGGCCCAGATCTGAAACCCCCATAGCTTTGGCTTTCCCTTCCCACCCCTCTGTAACCAGAGTGATCGCCTCAAGACTCCCATGCCCTGTGTGGTGGAGGTCTGAACAGTGGGCTTTGAAAGGGGTGCCCATGTTCCTTCCATGGCTGCATCCTGCTTCTTTCTGCTAAAGTCCTCCCCCTCCTCTCTTGACTTCTGTAATCTAGGCCTTTTCAGAGGAAAAGAAAACAAATTCTAAGGAGCTTGAAGCTCCAATATTGCTCTCATTTGTTTCCAAAGTACTCCCCGCCTCTCACTCTATTTCTGGCAACAATTTCCATTGGGTTTCAAAGCTCAGGAGCAGCCGCCACAGATTTCTCTGAGATTTAGGGCTGATTTTTCACATCGATAGCTCAGGAGACTTGGAGGATGTCGGCTTTGTGGCTGGTTCAGGCGCCTGGCACCTCAGCACAGCAAGATTCTCAAGAATATTCTGCAAAAATGGCTCCTAGCAAAGAAAATTACCTTATTCATGGAACTATCTTTGAGTCGTGGAGGTAATACTCCTTCATTCAACATTCATTTATTGAGTACTTCCTGTGTACAATTTGGGCTATAAATAGACATTTCTATGATAGGAGTCTGGCCTTAAAAGTGCTTACAATCAGGTTATGAAGACCAAACACAGATATATAAATAAGGAGCTAAGAATGCAGGCCAGTCTGCTTAAAGGACTGGGACCATGTATTACTCATCTTTGAAATCCTAGAACCTACTACTGTTCCTGGCACTCACTAAAGGTCCAGCCCATGGTTGCTAAATGAGTGAATGAGAGAAAAGCTTGGGGGTGGGTTGATTGGGGAGCGCATTGTGGAGGAGTTAGACTTAAGATGAGTATAGAAGGTGGGTGGATGTATTCTTTATATTGCTTTAGAGAGGAGCCTATAGCAAGAAGACCTGAGCCCTGGGAAGGGACCGCAGCAGGGCCTCCCTCTCTATAGTCCTTGCTGTGAGGCTCTGCCCATGGCACAGCAGCAGGAGAGGGTGGAATGGCCATAGAAGGCCAAATCTGCTTGGCTTCTTTCTTGTCATCATAATTTCAGGGACACTAGTGCCTGGGATGGGATCCGTGTCTGGTTCTTGGTCAGAAGAACTTCCCTGCAACACTAGACAAGGCTCTTCCTGACCATTCTACCTAGAGTCCGTCTACCCACACCCAGAGTCACTCTCTCTTAGGTGAGCCAGTCCTTTCTTCTGTAATAAGTATGACAATCTCAAAGCACCCTGTTTACTTGTTTGAGGTTGATCTCCTCTATAGGAAGTAACTCCACACAGACAAAGACCTTGGCTATCTTGTTGCCTCCCTTGGGGCTAGTGCAGTACCTGCCTCCTAGCTTCGGCTCAATTGTATTTTTTGGATGAACTTCCTGGCCTCTTGGGGGAAAACTCTGCAGCTGTGGAGGAGGCTACAGAGGGGAAAGTTCTTCCTAAAGGGCAGGCAGTACAGCCTTGGGGTGGACGCTGCCTCTGAGTGCAGCCCTTTCCATGCTCCCAGTGGCAGGCTGTGTGATGCTTGCTTATGAGAAGCTGGTGAGAGATGCTTGGGCCATGAGCCCAGGAGGCAGATGCCCCTTCCATGGAGCTTCTCTGTCCTTCCTCCTTTTCCAGCTTCATTTAGTAAAGGGAGCACCACTAGCCCGAGATGGAACTCTCAGGCAGATAAGCTTTGTCTGCAGTGGCCTCCTCACTGTGGTCATATACCCTAAAACTGCCAGGTCACCTCATGACCCCACACTGGCCGGATTCTCTCTCTGCACTCTCATGTCTGCCCCACTCTCCATGTGGCCTACCTACCCAAAGTTTTCTATTTGAGTTGCAGCCATTTAGGGACCTGCCCTGAGGTGCTTATTAAACGTATCAGCTGGGCTAATAGCTTAAAACTGTTACGCTCCTAATTAGGTGATCCAGAGTCTTAGGAGCATCACGTTATAATTCAAAGGCTTTCCATCCAATCCAATCCAATCCAATCCAATCCAATCCAATCCAATCCAATCCAATCCAATCCAATCCATTCCGCTCCACTCTAATCCAATCCACTCCAATCCATTACAATGTGTGTACAGTGTAGGAACAATCATAGTGTTCCTAAACTGGGCATGGACAAACCAGAGGATATGGGGACAGGGAAGGAGAGCATCTTTGAGTAGCACCTCTGCAATCTTAAGCTCACAGATAATGGTTCTCAATTCTACCCATGGGAAGAGCCACCCTCCTTTTGCTGGTGCTGTCACTAGGGGCTTCTGAGCAAGGAGGCATGAATCACTCTGGGGCATAGTGAGCAGGCTCAGAGCCTTCTGGATCATGCCTGGCTCTTTTACTGACCTTAGAGGAATCAGTCTACCCTAAGACTGCTTTATAGTCTCTGCTTCCGGGATTTTCCATTCTTTGGGAGCATGACTCAGAAAAGCCTATGGGCCTTGGGAGGGAGGTTATCAGTTGGATCATCTCTAATAAGAATGTGCTCTCTGCCTCCAGGCTGGGGCACACCGAATCATGGAAATCTATCAGCGCTTGGTTACAAAAGGGTAAAAGGCAAAAGTTGGGAAGTTTTCTTGCTGGGTCACACAATTTTCTAGACTCTGGTCCATATTGGACTTTATATCATCCACTGGGTTAAAAGAATACCAGAAAGAACCCAGACTTGTTCCAGTCTTGGTTTGATATCCCGTAGCTGTGCAGCCCCAGGCAGATCACCATACATCCCTGAGTTTCCATCCTCCTCTCTGGTGAACAGAGGAGATTGGACTAGATTAAAGTTCCCTGAAGTTTGCTTTTCAGTATCTTAGTCCTGGGTGACTCTCTGTGAGTAGGGTGGATTTGCTACCTCCTCTGGCCCCCTTCTTGGAGATTCACAATCCACATTAGCTTATTAAAGGCTCTGAGGACCATTAAAGACACATGCTGTTTAATCTGGCATTTCCCAAATTTCGTAGATAGTGAAATTCTTTCCTTCTGTAACACTAATATTAGTGTGCCGGGGATCTAGGGTTTCTCAGAGCATCCTTTGGAAAATGTAGACTAGGCCATCTCTAATGCTTTGTAATTCTTCATATTTTGCAGGGATAGATGAAATTTCGAGCAGCCCTCTGCCATCAGTCACAGTTTCACCCTCCTTGTGGTGTCATAGGTGAATGGCTGGGCCTGTGTCAGAACTCACTTCCAGTTCACGGGTTGCAACCCAAGTGGCTCATCTGCTTGCCAAAGCTGAGGCTCTGGAACCTAAAGGCTTCAGGAAGCTTCTGGCTGGAGAGAAACTCCAAGGACCACCCACTCCATTTCCCAGCCCTTCTGCCACTGCCATTCTGCATTTCAAAGATCAACTCTGCATGCCAATTTCTGTTCACAAAATGACCCAGAGAGAAGGTTTTTCAATTGTTGCCTGCAGTTTATTTAAGGCGCAAACCTACATTTAAGTTTAACAAAATCTCTCCTGCTGCAGTGACAAGCCATAATTTATGTGTTGCTTATGGTTTACTGTGTGCTTCTTACAGAGGATGTGAAGATCATTCTCTAGGGCTTCATGCGGTAGCTGAGAGGTCAACACACAGGGGCCATTGTAGAGAGCAGGGTATGCTGCTTATTCTTAGTGTGCTGCTAAGTATATTGGGCCTTGGTTTCCTCATCTGCTGAATGTGAATAATGATCCCTGCTCTATTTCTCAGCATTCCTTTGGAGGGCTAATGCTTCAATGGGCACAAAAGCAGTTTGCAACCTCTAAAGTGCCATGCAGTGGGTCCACATTATAGGCACATGAATTAAACACTAAGCACTGGAGAAAGAGAAAGGGAAACCAATAAGGACTTAAACAGGGTGAGCACAGGACAGGAGACAGGAATCTGCTATTTCTTCAGCTGGTTCCAGCTCCCACGTGCCTTTCACAGTGTGAGCATCTCATCTCACTGTGTTTCTAAAGTGTTTAAAGATATATGATTTTTCGTACATCATAGCCTGAATGCAAGCCAACTACTTCATCTGGTACTCAACCAAGAAAACAGGGAACTGTTGCAACAAGAGAGGAAATAATACTTCTGTTGGTTTTTTTCACAGGTGATATGCAGGTCTCCACTGGGGCACTTTTCTAAGGAGTTTTCAAGGTTAACGCTGACTGTGTGTCACACACCGCCTTCAAGCCCAATCCCATGCAAGAGGTGCCTCTTTTGTACAGGTTGGACGCTCATTACTATTAACCTTCCCAGCTAGGCACTCTACTCTGGCTTCCAGAAGGGGAGAGGAAGGATCTTTCCCCTACCAGGGATAGAGTACAAAAGGAAGGACAGGCTGAACTCAGGACGAAGGGCTGTGTCAGGAAGCTCTGAGTTACCAGCCTTTCCTCCAAGGACATGGGTTTGACAATCCTGGATAGTCCGTGCAGTCCCCTGCCTGCTTCAGTTTGCTTTCTTGCTGGCAGCCGCTCCCACTCAGCCCCAACCCCCTCGCCATTGACCGTGGCGGCGCGCCTGCAGTTGTAGCGCCAGGCACGCAGCCTGTTTGCAGACTCAGCCGCTCCCCTCATTCATGCTGCAGCTCATTCACTCGCTGGCGCTGGCAGGCTGCGGCTGGGCGCCGCCACTCGCGCGCACTCGTGTGGCAATTTATTTCTGGCCCTGTGTGCGTGTGTATGGGGGAGAGGGAGCGAGGGAGGCGCTCTCCTCTTAGAGGGGGATGCTTTTTCACTTCCAGGTAGAATCGCTCCCAGGCTTTATAGTATTCGCTGCCCTGGACCACGCACCTGGGTGGGGCACCGCGCTAGGCACTTTGCATGCATTATCTTGTTTAATGCCCCACGGCCACCTTTCCAGGTAACCTCATTTTACAGCTGAGGTACTGATAAGTAGAAATGTTCAGAAAAATCCCCCACATCAAACAGATAGTGAATGATACAACTGAATTGGATTCCAACGCTAGTCTTCTCGTCACTGTACCACATAACCTGTTGCCTCTTTCCTGGTGGCAGTTGCTGGGATGTCACTCATCTCCACCTTCATCCTTATGATGCTGTAATGCAATCCTAACGTCTGACTGATTACCCTGGGAACACATGGCTCGGACAATCTTGAAAGGGCTGAATCCCTAAAGCACTCAGATTTCTCAGCATGGAGGCTGGGGACAGCATGTCTATTGCCCCAAGCCTCTCATGGTTCCAGCTCAAACCATTTCTCACTCTAACCTCAAGCTTCTTTCCCAAAGAGTACTTTCTGAAGAGTGCTCTTAATAAGCATCCACACACACACACACACCAGAGCAATCTGCAGCATCGTGGAAAGTTCACTGAATTTATCAATAGATCTGGGTTCAGTTGCCACCACCATCACCAGCTTTGCAACCCCAGGCAAACCCTTTAACTTCTAAGCTTCAATGGTCTCATCTATACTAAAGGGGAAATAATACATGCCACACCATCTGATGGGATCGTCCTAAAGATGATTAATTATAAACACATTATAAACTGTAAAGTGTGGTCCCCATATCAGGTATTACTAAGCACTCTGTGTTACGGCCTGTTTCAGAGGTGGGTCTCATCTTTGGTTCTGGTTAAGCTTGGGTCAGCAGGAATGACAGGGACCTTGTTCTGTCTTCAGCTTATGATCTGGAAAAGATCATCTTCTTACCTAAGGCGGAATCTGCTTGACTCTCTTGACCCTTCTCAGAGGCTTTCCTCATGATCAATTTATCTGACTCCAGAGCAAGAGGCTGGCCAGACAAGCACTGCAGCCAGACCAGCGTGAGCCCTGGCAGCCATCTCCGGGAGCCTCAGGGTTAATGTTTGTGCGTCAAAGTTACGTGGAGAGAAGGGGCCATGGTGTGGATGGGGGTGGTGGTGGTGGTGAATCCAGACCTCCTTTTAAGATCTTCACTTGAGAGGTAAACTAGGGAAGTTTAAAAACAGAAGGGAGGTAGACGCGCCCCTGGGGAAGGTGAAGGAAGCTGTCTTGTGACTGACAGCGATAGCTCGGCTGCGTTCTGCATCTTAACGCGGCTGAGGATAGGGAGCCTGAAGCCTGTCCACAGACTCCTCCAGGAGGGACTGAGGCTGACTCGTCTTCCTTAGGCTTGCAGAGCCACAGGCTGTTTACAAATCTTTTTGCCATTGGTTCTGCTAATCCTCCCAATAACCCAAAGAGGTCGGCAGAGAGGGCATACTTTATTTGATGGATGGGGTCAGAGAGGTTAAGAGATGAAGGTTGAGCAGGAGGGAGGGGTGCAAGAGAGTTGGAGGTCCTAACACCCCAGCAGATGGACGGGGTCCCTCTAGGCACAGAGCCTTGTCCCTAGAATGCAGGCATTGCAGGAGGGGCACATGAAGATATTTTTCTCCCTTTTCCCTGCCCAGAAGGGCAAAATGCTTCCATGAAAGCCAGCCCAGGAGTGACGGACAGATAGCTCCACCCGGACCCCCCATTCAGACTTATTTTCCAAGACAGCTATAACTCACCCTTGATGCCAAAAGAGTCAGGGAAGACTGGAACTGGGGCTGAAATAAATGCCCAAGTTGCTTACAAAGTGGCTCTTCAAATCCACTCACTAGGTGCTGCACGCTTCCCATTAAGCAAGGAGACCCTCTAAAGCCAAGAAAAGAAGCAGGGTTGTCTTACCCAGGGACTCGGGAAGAATCCTGCTTGAGCTCCCACTCCAGCTCCTACAGGTCTGTGAGGATTAGCTGCTCCAGTGCTTTAACAATAAACCCAATTAAAGGGGAGGAATGCAGGAGTTTTCTTTCCCAGGACCGTAACCACGCAGCCTTAAAGGGGAGTAAAAGTAGCTAGGGTGGCTTGCATCTCTCTTTCCTTTCCTCGGCTCTGCTCACCCTCCCTCCCAGCGTGCAGTAATGAGTCTTATCCAGAAAAATGCTTGTGCATTTTTGCCTGGTGTGTGTGTGTGTGAGTCTGTGTGCATGTGTATGTGAAATTGTGTTTGCATTGATGTGTGTGATGGAAAGACAGAACGGAAGAATGAAAAACAAAAACATCAAATTATAAGTTCCCATTATCCTGAATGGGTGATGACAGAAAAAAATCAGAGAAGCTTTCTAGGATTGTCTGCCTCAGTTTCCTTTTTAACCCCTCAGGTGCTGGTGTATGTTGTCTAAAAACACCTCCCTGAAAAACAGAACATCTACACTGGCTGACATGTAGGGACTGAAGACAGTGTCCACCTTGCTTGTTATCTCTTACAGAACTGGGAGAAAGGGCCTTGGATGTCCCAAAAGGGGCCCCTCAGTTGGACGGTCTCACTCAGTATCTTTGATATGTCTCTTTTCCTCCAGAAGCTCAGCATTCTGGTCCCCAAACCTGTCTCAGTCCTAACCTATGAGACCCCAGGAAATCATTCCCCTCCTCCGGAAACTCTGTGCTCCCTCTGTTTCCTGTACTCATCTCTCCAACCTGGCCCTTGACCAAGGCTTCACAGTCTCCATCTTAGCTTCTCTGGGGCAGTCCCTTTAGTGCAGATTTCTTTAAACTCTGTCATCTGCTCTCTTGTTTTCTCCTTCTCTACTCTCTCCTTAAGGTTACCATCTACTCACAGAGTCTATTACCATCTTCATAAGAATCTCCTCAGTCAACACCCCACCTGGGTTATCATGCTCAACCTCAACATCCAAATGCCCACTGTCACCTACAAACAAGGCTGAATGTGTTATGGCCACCCTCAAACCCACTCTCCTGTTTTCCCCAACTAGGCTAATGAGCTACCATCTTCCAAACACTCAACTGAGAAACTCCAGGGTTTGCTTTGTTTGTGTTGCCTGTTTAATTTGTCTTCCAAACCCATCCAGCTCTTATGCACTTCCATTTGTTCCTTGAAATTAGCTTTTAACTTGTACCATTTCTTTTGTGTCATCTTGTTTTTTGAATAAATAACATATTCATATTGGCAAGAAAATGACCATATTAAAAGGCATACATTGAGATGTGTTACCCCCTTCTACTCGTTATCTGTCCCTTGACCCTGACATTGCCCTCTATAGGTGACCACTTTTATTATGGTATTTCTTTATGCAAATACAAGCAAATATTCACCTCTATGATCTCAGTTCAGGCCTTCAACCTCCCACCCAGGTAGAACTGTGATAGGATAGGGTGAGATGGTGCAGTAGGATAGTTAAAAGTGGCTCTGGGGAAGACTTCTAGGTTGGATTCCTGGGTCTTCCATTGACAGATATGTGGCCTTGGGAAAGTGGCTTAACCTTTCTATGCCTCAGTTTTTCCATCTGTAAAATGGCATAATTATTAAACTTATTTCACACACTAGTAGGGTGGAGCGAGACAGAATGCAGCTGCTTAGAACAGTGGCTTGCACATGGTAAGCACTTAATAAATTTTAGCTATGATCATTCTTTATCTGCCATAGTCTGAATATTTATGTCCCCATCCAAATTCATATGCTGACAGCTAATCACCAGTGTGGTGGTATTAAAACATGGGGTTTGGGGGAGGTGATGAAGTCATGAGTGTGGAGCCCTTGTGAATGGAATCAGTGCCCTTATAAAAGAGACCCTAGAGAGCTGCACTGCCCCTTCCACTATATGGGGACACAGAGAGAAGGTGCCTTCTACGAATTAGGAAGTGAACCCTCATCAGGCATTGAATTTGCTGGGCCTTCCAGCCTCCAGAATGGTGAGAAATATATTTCTGCTGTTTACAAGTTGCCAGTTTATGGTATTTCGTTACAGCACCCTGAATAGACTAAGACAGTCTACAATGTAACTTTCATTCTAGAATTACCTCAATAAAACATACTGCTTCCTCATCAAAAACATTCATTGTCTACAGAATAAAATCCAAACACTTCAGCCCATCATTGAAAGCATTCCAGGATCTAGCACAAAGCTATCCTTCCTCCACTGCATCTCTCTTTCTACCCATGTGACACTCCAGCCACACCATATGAAACACTTATTTCTAACATAACACTCACACCAAAACTCCTGACCGTCGTTTATCCTGATCTGTTGGTTAAGAAAATGCCCTTTCCTCATTCTCCACCTATAGAAATTCTATAGATTCAAAAATTCCACATCCAGAAAGCCTTCTAAGATTTCCTCCCCCACTGACAACTGATCACTCCTCCCTTTGGAGTGTTCCCAAAACTCTTTGTCTACAACTCTTCTTAGTTCTTAATCTTTTTTTGCCTTGAATTCTAGTTTGTTTCCTGTCTCCTTTTTTAAATTGATAGTTATTTAAGGGCTGTGATTCTGCCTGTATTTCTTGCCCCTCTTTTTTCTTTCCTCCATCCTCCTCCTGTGCCTGGCTCTGCAAATGTTTATTGGACCTGATAGATTTATCAGCCCTCAGGGGTAGAAAGGCCTTTGATAGTCATCATAATTAAGTAAGATATGATTTGCTAATTATTGGTACATAAGTAAGTACTTAATAAATGGTAACTATTATTAGTATTGAAAGTAGGAATAATAGCATATTATTGTTATTGATACAACATCCCATTTATTGCCTAGACTCTCTGGGTAGAGCATCCCCGACTAAGCTGCTGTCCTCCTCCTGTTTGCACACTCTGGAGCTGGGGAGTTTATCATAGCCTAAGACCGCCAAATAATGCCCATGGGCATTGACACACATTACAAAGTTTATCTCTAGAGGAAGCTGAATTCTGCTTCTCTGAAGACTTTCCCAGCACACACATACATATACTCATTCCTTAAATATTTATCAAATGCTGATGTATACTAAGTATTGGGGATCTGAAACCAGACCTAGTTCCTATGTTCATACAATTTTTACTGTCCAAGTGTATGAATCAGTCAACTCTGCACCTTGTAAGTCACTCTGATGAAAGGATGAATCGGAAAGGAATTGCCTGTTGTCATCAGACCACCAGAATCCTCTTTCTTTCCCATTCCCTCCAATTCACCTGCACCCTGCTGGGCTGGACAAGCCACAGAACCAGGAATGAATTCTCTGCTGTGGAAACAGAAATAGGTTCAGCAGATGTCTGGTGCCAGAGGAGAAAGCATTGCCTCTTAATGATGAGGTCAGAAGCCAGATCTCCTTGCAAGCACTGACCGGGCCATACGCTAATCATTGGAGGCCTAGCGAGGAGGCAGAGCACCCATTGCTCAAATATTAGAACAGATGACTAGAGAACTGAGGGGGCATTTAGTAATGTCTCTCAAGGACGTGGAAGAGAGCTTTTGTCATTACAGCACAGGTATAAGCATGCACATACACAAAAACATGCACGTGCACATGCGTGGTTGCAGTTTTGCCCAGTTCATATTCTTTTAATGGCCTTATCTCTATGTTTTTCTCAACTGACAATTTGACCAAATATTTATTAAACATCAACTATGTGCCCAGGACAGGAGACAAGACAAGCTACAGAATAACAATTGGAGATCATTCAATAGCTAAATAAGGTATTATTAATTTACGTTGTTCCCAGAGATAGGGGTCATGGAAAGATTGCTGCAGGATGGAGATATCAGGAAAGGTTTTATAGAAAAAGTAGAATCTGCATATTAAGGATGAGTGGGACCAGATTCGGGAGGCGTCAGTGGTGGGTGTGGTAGAATTAAGAAAACACAGAGATTTGAATACCTACACAAAATCCATACTGGAAATGATGAGACAGCTTTGCAATGTCACAGGTGACATTGGCAAAGGGGAAAGTGGCCATATAGAACCTGATAGTTATATCCACCACTCCCATCCGACCACGCTTACCCCTCCAAGTAAACAAAATAAGCGGTCCTCTTAAGGTTTGGTATAAGGAGGAGAAAAGGGAGATGCGCTCATGAGGACAGAGCAATCCTTCCTCTGTTTAAGAGCAGATTCTTGCGTCACCTCCTTTCTGTATTGTCTTTTACATTTAATTAGATCTCCAGATTGAGCTTTCTGGACAGCCAAATGACAAGACATGGTGATGTGCCAGGGTGGAAGAGGGAAGGGAAAATGAATCAGGAGAAAGAATTGGCTACATGAGAAGTCAGAAAAACCAACCAAAAAATTGCATGTGTAAAGGCCCTGGGGTGGAAAGGAGCCATACCTACTGGGGAAAGACAGAGTAGTGCATTGTGACTGGGCAGGTAGAGTAGTGGGGAGAGTAGCCCAAATGCAGCTGGTGAGGCAGGAAAAGGAGCAGATCGTGCAAGGCCTTGAAGGCATGATAGGACAGATAATGAGGAGGAAGAGGGGCCACCAAAGAGCAAATATCACTTATTTCAAAACATATCTCCAGTTGGAGGTTGGATAACAGAGAATAGAATGTGCTCCTGATCAGCGAATGAGGGCTGGAGGGAGGGAATGGAAATTATAGGACCATAGAGATGGACTGGCTCACAGGCATGAATCAATGCAAGACTCGCTGCTTTAGTATTTATTTATGTTAAAAATAAGACACCAGACTGCTAGTATTTCCAGGAATAGATATTTTACACTGCTGTGTCTTGGACAACATTGTTCCTGCAGCCTGCGAGATGTTCATCTTTTATTTGAGCTGGATCTTTAAAAACTCTCCTCTCCTGAGCATCCTTCCCTGGGTCTACAGGCAAATGATGACTCTTTCGCTTTTCTTCCAAAGCTCTTGCATCTCTGCAATGGCACCTGCCCTACTCTGCTTGGGTTAAAATTGGTATGATACATGTCAGGGTTGCCGCTTAGATGATAAGCCCTCTGAGGGTAGAAACCAGGCTTCAATGACCTCTACACTTCCACAAAGTCCTGAAAATTGAAGGGCTAAATAAATCCTGAAAATGAGAGTTTTCTGGTGTGTCCTGAGTTTGACACCATTTGCCATTTGACACCGTGGAAGGGAGGAGGAGGACAATGGATGATAAGTACATGGGCTTTGTATTAGTCTGTTCTCACGCTGCTAATAAAGACGTACCAGAGACTGGGTAATTTATAAAGGAAAGAGTTTAATGGACTGGGGAGGCCTTGCAATCATGGCAGAAGGCAAGGCGGAGCAAGTCCTGTCTTACATGGATGGCAGCAGGCAAACAGAAAGAATTTGTGCAGAGGAACTCCTCTTTATAAAAACATCAGATCTCATGAGACTTATTCACTATCAGGAGAACAGCACGGGAAAGACCCATGATTCAATTACCTTCCACTGGGTCCCTCCCATGACATGTGAGAATTATGGGAGCTACAATTCAAAATGAGATTAGGGTGGGTGACACAGCCCAACCATATCAGGCTTACCATGGGCTGCCCCCATGGACACACAGAATCCTGAAGAATGTACAAAATGGCCCATTGTTTGGTTTGTGTTGCATCTTCCAATTTCTTTAGATGCTGCAGAGAGTTGTGTGTCAGAGGTGGGCCATTCATCCAGGATGTCTGGCTGAGTCCTCATGGCCACTCTGCCTAGGAGGAAGGTATCAACTCTTCCCACCTGGACTTTCTTCTTTTCTCCTGTTTCCCTGGGCCTCTCCATCCTATGTATTCTTTCCCAGATTCTTCAATCCTCCTCCTCAGCCTCTGCCAGTGTTCATCAAGCATTTGGTTATGTCTAACTGTACCTTGGGTGACGTGGGGGTAGCAGGGGATCTTGCAGGTGGAATGTCTACAAGGCATGTAGATTTTCATCTGACCATCCAACCCTCTCTTCATGTGTGTGATTTGTGTCTATGTGCTAAAAGAATCTATCACCTCTACTGCTTTAAATCATATTCCCAAATGACCCCAGCCTGGGTCTATGTCATGTTCCAGGAAGAGTTGATGGAGGACAGGATGAATCTCATCACCCTTGGCTTCTGGTTTCTGGCTATGACCTAGTCACTTCCTATGGGAACCTGCTTCTGATCCTCAGCAGAGACTGGAGGACCTTTCACCTCTGCATCCTTCATTATCCACATGCATTTCTGTATCCAGAGCTGGAGGCATTTGCGATGACTCTCCAAGGTCACCAGGATGTGGCCTGGAAAGGCCAGCAGGAGTGGAGTCAAAGGAAGTGGGTAGTCATAAGTATCCCTTGCCTCATCCAAACTTTTATCAAAGCTACTTACAATGTATCTGATTGAGCGATTCCATTTTAACCTTGTTTTTCTGTTTCTTCCCAACGCTCTAGGGAATACACAAGTAACAAAGGGAGAAATTACAACAGTGAGAATTTCACTAAGGAATCTAGCCCATGTCATCATGTTTACAGACAGCCCTGGATTCAACTTGGGACTGGGGCTTAGGGAACCTGGCACCTTTATTAGCTGGGTAACCTGGGATGAGTCTAACCTTCATGATTTGTCTTCTCATCTGTCAAATTGGGCTAAAGATCTCAGTCTACCCCAGGAGTCTACTGTCAGGGTCAAATAAAACGAAAGAATGTGTATAAAAACATCAAAAGTAATGTCACCTTTGTCCCCTACCCCTAGAATCTCGAGTCTACCTACCTCCAGGTGCTGCTCCTCCCTGCCCCGCTGGGACACGGTGATTTCCCAGCAGGATTGCTCTGTGGGAGATGGGATGACCAGGCTCCCTCACTCCCAAGAATGAGCTGCACTGCCCTCTAGTGACAGTGCCCTGTCTAGCAACAGGCCCAGAGGTGCCTGTGTCCTCCCCGCTGGCTGACTGGTGGGGAGAACGGATTTTTCTTGGTGGCACTGTGTCTGACCAACCCCTCCTTCTGCCTTGCCTCACAATTCTCCATATTTCTTCTGTATAAGTTCCACGTGGTAACCCATTGCACAACCGGAGCATCATATTTCTGATATGGGCAGTAACTGCTGCTCCTTTTCTTTAATATTTTAAGAACCAACACATATTTGCAGGTGTCTCTTGTGGGTAAGGCGATGCGCAGGCAGTGAGCTGTCACTGCTCCCCCACCGCCCATCTCCCTCTTCTGCCTTAAGAGGGAGCTGTCTGCAGCCTCCCTCAGCAAGTCAGCCTTCTGGAGACTTCCCAGGGACAATTACTGGGCCCCTTCCCCACTTGTGGAAAGGACTCAATGGGATCACAGGGATTTCCCGAGAGTCTTTTCTGTCCCCCACAGTGACCATCAAAGAGCAGGCATGGCACAGGCATTCTGGAAAGTTCTTCTGAGTGAATAGATGACCTTTATGAATCCCTTCCTTGGATAGATCCTGACATTCTGTAATATGTGCACACCTTTTTGAGACTCACTGTAGTGCAGAGGCTGAGTCAGACAGTTTTAAAAACGTTTCTGAGCCTCAGTTTCTCAAGCATAAATTGGGTATAAGAAGGTCATAAGTGCTAAATAAGATAATGTATGTGAATTGCTTGGAAAATGACAAGCACTCAGGAAGAGGACGCATTGGGGCTCTGAATCAGTTTGAGACATGGCAGAGACCAATATGGTATGTAATATGGTATGTAAGGTGGCTCCAGAGATCTGGGTGAAGGGAGCAAATGGGGCTTAGGAGGGGACAGTGTTCACACAGAAGGCGAGAGGGTGCATACGCATGCTCACCCATAAGCCAGAGGTCTGGGACGGAGGACTTCCATGTATAGTGAGATCTCAGCTTAAGATCCTGTGATTTAGAGGTTACAGGCACCCTCACCTCTTGGAATAACTGTCTAGAGGAACCCTACTGAGCTCCCGAGCACTCTCATCTCCAAGGAGTCCAATCAATATATGCCCTAGTTAGGGGACTTAGTCAGAAAGAGGGAGGCAAGTGAAAGACAAAATCTTTCCCTTATAATGGGTTTGGGAGGGTGACACCCAGGACTCTTGAACAACTAGAATGCCTAGGGCTTGGGAGCCAGACAGCCTTCTGGGGACACATCCAGCCCCAGCTGGCCCTAGGGAGAGTAGCAACAAGAAAATCCTTCTTCCAGTTGTCCTTTCCCTTTGCATCCCCTGCAGGGAGGTGAACACCTCTCACTCCCACCCTCCTTCTCTCTTCCATTCTTCTAGGCTTTCAGGAGGAGGAGAGTTTCTGAGGGAGCAGCATCATCATCAGCTACATGTTCTCCTCTGCTGTTGTTCCTGAGATGGAATATATAAATAATAGGACTGACAATAAGTAGAAATCAGCAGAAATAATGTACTCCTGAGAAAGGAAACAATTGCTTGATTTAAACACCAGATCTCTTGTCTGAGTGCTTTCAGTGCCATGGTCCACATTTGACCTCCAGAGATGGATTGAAAGAACCTCGCATAGGGGTGGAATGCAGGCACAATGCTTCCAGAGCAAGGTCTGTGGGCTGAGGACAATGGCCTGGCTCCTTCTCTGTGCAGTGAATTGGAAACGAGTCACAATAGCCACTCCAGATCCAAGGCTGGTTCCTTCTGCTCCATGTTAAGAGACAAGTCCTCAGCATGAGGACAGAAAGCAGGCTGGCATTGCCAGTCCTTGTTATGGATTGTATTGATCTTAGCTTTCAGCATTTCTACCTCCCCACAATAGGTGGAGGGAAGCAGAAAGAATGGTCTGCCCAGGTTTTCCAAAACCTTGGGAAAAACAACCAGCCTAAAGGATTGCAAAGAGACAAAGAATTATATTCTTGTGAAGGTGGCAAGGCCAGGTGATGTGGTGATGCCAGAAAATTATTGATTGATTTTGAGGTCCAGAGGACCCTAAATAGGGATACTGAAATCAGCCCCTTGTTTGGCAGCAAGATGGTGTGAAGGGGAGAGAAGGGAAAGAGGAAGGAGAAACTTCTGTCCTCTCCTGGGTTTGGGCACGAGAAGGCAGATTTCAAAGACAGAAGAAAAGGGCAGCACCAAGGCAGACCCTGTTCCTTTTATAGCCCTAGGAAGCTCTGCAAGTGTCAGCCGATGAAGTAAGCCCAGGCCAGGCATTTTGGACATTTCTTTATAAGGTAAGGTTGATCTTATCATAGCCTGTAACCCAGCTGAAAATGGAAAGATTTAGACACCAGAAGGAGCTCCGTATCTAGAGAGGGTGGTGATAGGGAATGGGTGCTATGTCCAACAAATCATCACATCCCAAAGTTCCCATGAGAAGCGAGGTGGGGCATCACAACAAGTGTGCATACAGCAGTGTTCCCATAGAATAGGGAGTCTAAGAGAAGACAGTATCTGAGATTTTCAGGCCATGTGCCTTTGCATGGGCCATTTCCTCTGCCTGGAGTGTTCGCTCCTTTTCTGTTTAGAGGATTCCTAACTATGCTTGAAGAGCAGCTCACATCTTGCCACCTCTATGAAATCCTCCATAACAAAATAATCCTCTCTCTCTACAACATTTGGCAATACCTCACTCATAATTCCATTATATGCAAAATTTTCAATTATTAAATTAATCCATTTCACTAAATTTTGAGCCCTTAGAGTAGATTCTGTGGCTTTAACTACCCAGTGTGTAGCAGCTAGTAACTTACTAATTCATCCAACAAATGTAAATTAAAATTCAGGAAGCAGGCTGGCAGGTAGCATGAGGAGGTTTGGTGGGAGAATTCAGGGCAAGAGCCATCAAGGCAATACTCCAAGCCCAAGGTGAGGGTGGAAACAAAAAGCAAGGACATGTCTTTGTCCTAGTGGAATTGGACACTGGGCAGAGTTCCAATGCAGAGATGGCAACACGGGAATATCCGGTTCAGGGAAGAGAATTGGTTGTGGGAGCAAGGCAGAGACTTATACACAGTTCAGCATTGGGCCTGAGAAAGGCTGGATGCTGACTGAGTCTCATGAACATTGAACTAAAAGGGCTTTGAGGCTCCTTAAAGGAAGACGGTCCTGGTGTCCAGGCTTGGGACCATGCTGAGTCTGCTGCTGGGTACATAGGCTTGAAGTTCTCTCAGTTGCAGCTGAGGAGCTGAGGGTGCAATGAGCCAACAAGTCAATAGACCAGACTCATGACCATTGCTTTGTCCTCTTTTCTCCAAAAAGTGAACACAGGCACAGATATCCCAGCCTTCTAACCAGAGCAAGGCAGCATTAGTGTCTGATGGAATCCCAAGGGACTCTGCCTCCTGCCACCATTAAATATTAGACATTTTGTGCATAGAATTGACATATGAAACCTGCAGCAGAGACACTGATAAACCATCCATACAGGTATTACCTGCTTCCTCTGTGTTCCACAAAGCCTACTTCTAGTTTTTTTTTTTTTTTTAAATTTTATTTATTTATTTTTTTTTGAGACAGAGTCTTGCTCTGTCGCCCAGGCTGGAGTGCAGTGATGCGATCTGGGCTCACTGCAAGCTCCGCCTCCCAGGTTCACGGCATTCTCCTGCCTCAGCCTCCCGAGTAGCTGGGACTGCAGGCGCCCACCACCACGCCTGGCTTTTTTGTATTTTTTAGTAGAGATGGGGTTTCACCATGTTACCCAGGATGGCCTCGATCTCCTGACCTCGTGATCCGCCCGCCTTAGCGTCCCAAAGTCCTGGGATTACAGGCGTGAGCCACCGTGCCCGGCTGTCTACTTCTAGTTTTTAAATTCAAGGACTGTTCTGCACCTTTTATCTTCTCAAGAAGAGTATGGCAAAATTTCTCCCTTCAGAACAAGACCCCTGAGAGAGATTCTGCTTCTAGCCCATGGATTGGAGAAGGGTATATTAGAGCTCAGGTGTGTAAAACAAAACACGTCTATGGGTGATGTTTATTCAACATGAAAACAACTGGAATGTGACATGAAAAAGTCAATCAATCACAAATCTTAGTATAAAGACAGTTCAGAGCCAGGCATGGTGGCTCATGCCTATAATCCTAGCACTTTGAGAGGCTGATGAGGGCAGATTGCCTGATCTCAGGAGTTCGATACCAGCCTGGGCAACATGGTAAAACTCCGTCTCTATAAAATACAAAAAATTAGCTGGGCTCGATGGAACGCACCTGTAGTCCCAGCTACTCAGGAGGCTGAGACACGAAAAATGCTTGAATCTGGGAGGCGAAGGTTGCTGTCAGCTGAGATTGCACCACTGCACCCCAGTCTGGGCAACAGAGTGAGACTCCATCTAAAACAAAACAAAACAAACAAACAAACAAACAAACAAACAAACAAACAGTTCAGGTCCTAGCATCTCTTTGCAAATTCTCATCTCATAGAAGAGCTTTCCATTCTAAATTTGAGTCCCTGTCGGGTGACTTCAGATGAATCTGAGCCTTAGTTTTATCTATAGAACAGGAAGAATAATGCAATATTGACAGCCAGTGAGGTCTGATGAGCATGGAGAACATCTACGAGGTCTAAACAGCACCCTTTCCCCTTTCTGCACTTCTACCCCCTTTCTGCTGGAAAATGCTCATTTCCCCATTATATGACTCTAATGGGCATCACAACTTCTGTGTAGAACCTACCCCTGTTCACAGTTGATGAGTCAAGTCGTGAGCTCAAGTCCATTCAGTTCCGTTTTGCTGCCAAATGAACTTACTTCAAATTTATATTTTAAAAAATTCTATTTAGATTTCCAGGGCACTTTGGGGATTGTGGAGCATGGAATGTGGAATTGTAAGTAGTTGAGTCTAGGCATATTTGGATCACACATCTAATAGAGTCTGTCGTCTCTATTAGAACATGAATTCTTTGAAGGCAGGGATGAACACCACCCCTGTCCTATAGTCACTTCAAGTTCAGCATGTCCACAACTGCACCTAAACAGGGAGTGAGAAACCATTAGATAATAGATAGTGAAGTGAAGCCGGGAGCATGAAGGATTGGGGTAAAGCAGAGCCATACAATGACCCTGACATCTTCTTCCCCACCTGTTCCTCCACCTGTGTCCTCTGTCGTCTTCTCCATCATCCAACCTAGAAGTCTGAGCCACTTGCACTCTCCACCCTCCTTTACTCCACAACATCTGATAAGCCTCCAAGCCTCGCTGATTTTACCTCCTAAATATTTCTTATATTTGCATGTTCTTCTCCATCTCTTCATGGGTTGACTTCATCATCTCTTACCTGGATTATAGTAAAAGCCTCTGAGTTGGTCTTATTTCCTCTAGTTTTGTCCTTCTCCCATTCCCATTCTTTCCTAGCCCTGCTGGATTGATGGAACATACCACTCTTGTTTAAAATTTTACCAATCAGTGACCAGCCTGACCAACACGGTGAAACCCCATCTCTACTAAAAATACAAAAATTAGCTGGGTGTGGTGGTATATGCCTGTAATCCCAGCTACTTGAGTGGCTGAGGGAGGAGAATCACTTGAACCCAGGAGGCAGATGCTGCAGTGAGCCAAGATCGCACCATGCACTCCAGCCTGGGTGACAGAGTGAGACTCTGTCTAAAAAAATAAAATAAAATAAAATAAAATAAAATAAAATAAAATAAAATAAAATAAATAAAATCTACTTAATGAATGTGGCTTTTTTTTGTTTGCTTTATCCCCTGGCCATTGGCATCCCCATCTAGCCTGGAAGATGGGTTGGTCGTTAGGGGAGGCATGCCCTCCCATTATGAGGTGAATTGTGTCCCTCCAAAATTTATATGCTGGGGTCCAAACCTCCAGTATCCCAGAATGTGACCTCATTCGGAAGTGGGGTCATTGTAGATGTAATTAGTTAATTTTAGATGAGGTCATACTGTTGGAGGGTGGGCCCCTAATGCAGTAAGACTGATGTCCTTATAAAAAGGGGAACTTTGGACACAGGCACACACAGGCAGAACGCCACATGAACATAAAGGTTCATGATCATAGGATGATGCTTCTATGAGCCAAAGAATGCCAAAAATTGCAAGCAAATCACCCAAATCTAGGAGAGAAACATGGAACAGATCCTCCCTCACAGCCCTCAGAAGGAACCAACCCTGACAACTCCTTGATCTCAGACTTCTTGCCTCCAGAATTGTGAGACAGTAAATTTCTGTCATTTTAGCCACCCAGTTTGTGACCTTTGTTAGGCAGTCCTCCTAGCAAACTAACGCACCTCCGCAGCGATGGTTAAGACTGAACTCTGGGGCAGGAAGCTTGCTTGGCTGGGCAGGGCTGCAGTAAGGAATTATGGGGCTCAGCATGCCTCCCGGCTCAAGTGCTGGAGGGAGAGCTCCCAAGGATCCCAAGTCTGCCTTTGCCACCCTCTGAAGACACGGATTCGCTGACAGCGTGAAATCTTGGATCTCCATTTTTTCCCTTTCAATCTGAGTCAGAGCCCATGGGGTGCCCTTCAGGAGCTGTGGGTGCAATATGCTTTCTATGTCAGAATTAGCCAAGAGGTGGGTTGCTGTTGCCTTTTTCCAAAGCACAATCCCCACTGCTGGTCCATCTGATAGGTACTCTTGCAAGAGAGGAAAGATATGTTTCATGCCTTTAACCACCTGGAGACCGGACCAGAAAGAATTGCTTTAGCCACTACTCCATGTGCCCTTAGTAATGCTAAGCACACCTTTGAGCAGGTTGGAGACCTCTCATAACACAGATCATCGATGCAAAATAACTTGTTGGAGTGCTTAGTCAATTTCCAACCATTCCTTCTTCTCTGCTGGATCTCTGGTTGCAGACATGGGTTTGAGCTGTCAGCAAGAATTGTGAAAGTTGAGTGTGTGTGTGTGTGTGTGTGTGTGTGTGTGACTGAGAGAGAAAGAGAGATGGATGGAATGACTGACATGTATCTTTGATGGCTGTCCAACCAAAAGAAATAGGATTTTCAGATTTCTTGAAAACTGTGGTGATTCAAAATCATTGCCAGGGAGATTTTGAACTTTCATTAAGAAAAACAGGAAATGAGAGACTCGTAAAACCCAGGGAGGAAATCTGACATTTTGAGGCCACTGATTGACTCCATTTGAGGCACTAACAAGAACCATCGAGCGTCCTGTGTTTCGGATTAAACAGATTCTTCTTGATGAGGGAAACATTCCCCGAGAGATACCTTTGAGGGCGGACCTGTAGCTTACATTTGAAGCTATGAGACTATCGCCCTCTGCTGGCCAGAGGCTCTTTGCAGCTAAATCCTACGCATCCACCAATGAGGAAAACAAATTCACCTAATCCAGTGAGTCCAGGTGGGATTTTTCTATCTCATATATATATATATTTCATTTCTCAATTTATTGTGGGGAGGGGGTATTTGGTGAGACAGAATAAAGAAACAGAGTTTTTAATAGCATACTTATTGAAGTTACAAGAGGCTATCACAATCAGTAGGGAGAAAGGTTATTTTTTGTGTAGATGCTTCAACCTGAAGAATTGCTTTTTCTTACTGATGCTAAGACTTAAATCCTCTTATGATGATATTGTCAAATAAGAACCTGCCACTGGCCCACCAGGGTAGAGAAAGAGTAGATGCTTGGGTCAGGTTGGGGACTCTACAGTTTGTCTTTCCAGATGGAATAGGGCCAAGGGGAAGTGTAGGGGGAAACAGGGAGGAAAGTGGGCATAAGATCCTCCTAAGGGGGATCTGTATGACCTGGGAGGCAATTCTTTGAGAAATGCAAAAAAAAAAAAAAAAAATTGTCCATCCTCCTGATCAATTTACTAGGAAGAGTGTGATTTTAGGGGGGAACAGACACTACCTGAATGGCCTTCCAGACATTGTGGGGCATTGGTGAGGACCCTGAAAGCCCTTCTGTTGGAACTGGAAACCATTTTGACATATTTGGGCATATTTGGGATATCAGTAGAGATGCTTGGGTGGGGATCCCCTCTCTGTAGAACTGTTTGTATTTGGATTATTCGGGTTTGAACTATTCACTTATCTATTAATCATAATCAGGCCTTCTACTATAGTCTCCTCTTATCTTCAAAAATAAAGTTAGCTGGGTAGTGATAGAGCAGAACAGTGATTTAAAACATGGACTCTGGTGTCAGACTGGTTGGATTATAATCCCAGCTGTGTCTCTTATAGCTCTATGACCTGGGTGAGCGATGTAATCACACTTTGCCTCAGTTTCCTCATTTATAAAATGGGTATAAATGGTACTTACCATGTAAGGTTATTGTGAGGGTTAAACGAGTTGATACACAAAAACTACTTAGAACAGTTCCTGGAACATAGTGAGCACTCAGTAGTTATTTTCTGTCATCATCATCATCATCATCATCATAAATGACCAAGACTTATGAGGCCAGATATTTGTTCCCGCTAACCACCACCCCATTTTGCTGTGATCACACATGTTCTTGAGAGTGAAAAGAGATATGCTTGCTTGGTATGGTTGACAGTACTGTTCCATGAAAGGGCCGCATGTATAAGGCAACCTCCAAATGCAGAAGGAGCCAAGTAACCAAAGAAAGAGGCAGACAAATATAGTTTGTCAGTTTTGAATGATTTATTATGGGGAACTTACAGGCAGAAGCAAGGTCTTGGGTGGTCCCAAGACAGGTAGATCTCTGCACCACAACACCCCCCAGACCCAGGGCTTATATCTTGAAGAAAAAGCATACATGCTCTGGAAGGGATGTGTAGATGGCTATGGGTGTCACAGCCTTTGATTTCTGCAACTACAAGGGTTGTTTTGGAGGAAACTTACAATGAATAGATGTTCCTACATAAAGAGTAATACATCAACTAGACATTTTGGAGGCATTCCTGGACTCGGGGTTAGTCATAAGTTACATGATGAATTACCATTTAAAATAAAGTCATTCTTGTCCCCACAAGTACAAGCATTCACCAACATCCAATCCACTTCTTCTAGAGACATGGAAGACTCCTGCCTGGAATGTGGGCAGGGCCATGTGAGTAGCTCTGGTCAGTGAAATGTGAGTGCATGTGGCTTATATCATCACTTCTGGGCTGAGACAGTTAAAAGCCCACACATGATTCTTCAGTTTCTTTTCCTGTGCCACAGCAACCAAGAAGGTCACATGTTCCAGAAGCTGCAGCTATAAGGTGGGTGGGGGGACCTAAGTGGGCCTGGGCTCTTGAGTGACTATGTGGAGCAGAGCTGCACTGACTCTTTCTTATCCATGGGTAGCACAAGCGAAAAATAAACTTCTGTGGTGCAAAGTCACTGAGATTCAGGAGTTGTTGCCAAAGCGGAGCCGAGCTCAGTGGTTCCCAGTCTGGTCCCAGGTAAGTATCGGGGGATGTTTAAGAGATGCAAACCCCCAGGCTTCACCCCACGCAAGCTGAATCAGAGGCTGAGGATGGGGCCAGAGTCTGGGTTTTAACAACTCCCTCAGGTAATTCTGATCTAGCTCAGGATTGAGAACCACAGCTGTAACTGATCTTGAATGAAACAGGTGCCAGAAGCCTGAGGTGAGATCTCGCTCTGTCAGCTTCCAGTTATACAGGGAGCTTGCCCCAGAGGCCACCAGTGTTTGGGATGATCCATTCTGCTTTACTTCTTTCCTTTGGTAGAGATATTTAAACACTAAACACCTGAGAATATTTAACTACAAATATACTGATGTGGTTTGGCTCTGTCCCCACCCAAATCTCATTGTGAATTGTAGCTCCCATGATTCCCATGTGTTGTGGGAGGGACCTGGTGGGAGATAATTGAATCATCGGGATAGTGTCCCCCATACTGTTCTCACGGTAGTGAATAAGTCTCAATAGAGCTGACGGTTTTATAAGGGGAAACCCCTTTTGCTTGACTCTCATTTTTTCTTTGTTAGCCACCACGTAAGATGTTCCTTTGCTCTTCCTTCATCTTCCACCATGATTGTGAGGCCTCCCCAGCCATGCTGAACTGTGAGTCAATTAAACCTCTTTCTTTTATAAATTCCCCAGTCTTGAGTATGTCTTTATCAGCAGCGTGAAAACGGACTAATACATATACTAAGGCCCAAGCTACTTACCTGAAGTTAAGAAATCACCTGGAAATAGGTTCAGTTGTAGCCTTAAGAAGGTGAATGCTTTCTAGATCTTCCCAGTTATGTCTGAAACCATCAGGTTCATTGCGCTCTTTCTCATTCTTTGCTTGACAGCCCCTCTCTGAAGCAGAAAAGAAAGAGTCTGATGATCCCTATTTCACAGAGGAGGAAAGTGAGGCTCCAGGCGGTCAAGTTATTTATCCACAGCCTGGAGACATAGCTTTGCCCTGCCTACAGCCCTAGTGCTGCACCTCACACAAGCAGTACTCAGTGAAAAGTTGTAGAAAAATGAAGATAAAAGACATTTGCTGGCCTCACACATTGCTTAATTGTCTGAGCTTGTCTGAGTCTCAGTCGGGTGCTCATTGCTGTGCCTGGGCGGGTGCCCCAGGAACTAAAGTTGAGGGTGGAGGCAAAGCTAAGGGTAGACACGGGAGGGACAAAGCAAAGGGCTGGGAAGGAACAATCTGATCCAGCCCTCTCTTAGCCCTTTGCAAGGCAGAGCCGTCCCAGAGAAGTGAGAGCCTGTAGTCAGCAGGGGGCAGTGTTGTTCTAACAAATACCTTAATAATGGCTGGTGAGAAGGCTGCCCGCGCATCTAAGCTTGGGCAATACTGATGGGATTGAATTGATCGAGGCCAGAGGATCTGGTCCCTTGGAAAAACAAAAACAGCGAAAAAGATGGGCACCTATATACCCACTATCTATATTGGGCATTTTCTGTGAAATTCTTTCAATTTTTCTGTCTGGAAAATGTTATAATAAAATTTTGGAAGTAAAAAGAGGATGGAGCCCTCCTAGGCTGCGCCTGTCTCAGCCCTGCTGCTGCGGTTGGTGCACCCATCTGGGTCCAGACCCATAGCCACTGGGGGCAGTGGCATGAGTCTTCACGGAGCGTCTTATTCTTGATACTCATCGTATTCTCCCTGCCCAGAGGTATGCTCTGCCAGCTCTCTTCTTTGCTTGCTCCTTTTTCTCCTCTGCTATTTCTCCTTCTTCCCGTCCCCCTCATACTCTCTCCTGTACCTCCATATCTGACTGTGAGTCAGGTGGATGGCTCATGAGTCAGCAGGGCCAGTACTGGGGATGTGAGGGGTTAGGTGTGAAAGACACAGCAGATCCCGTCCCTTCGGAGTTTATAGTCGTGGAAAGACAGACCCACAGAGGCAGAACTTAGAGAAAGAAGACAGGAAAGCACTGAAATCATGTTCTCTGGGCCATAGGATACATGCAGGTTTCAACCTCGATTCAACCTTGGCAAAGGCTCTCTAGTTGTTCAGGACTTCCCCATCATGAGCTTTCTGGAAGGCACCTCTTCCATGTCCAAACATGCTGCAGGGTTTCGCGAGATAGAGCCCATCCCTATACCCAAGAGACAAGCAGTGGATTTCTTGATTTGGCTGTGAGGGGGCAGCTCAGCTCAGCTCATCCAAGAGGTCTCACATAAGCCTTCTTGTGGTATTCTATAATCCATTCTTCCACCTACCTGAACCATTCCAAGGCTCTGTGACCCAAGGATGACCCAGATTTGAGTCCAGCCTCCTAGTACCACTCCATCCACAGGTGGAACTCAGCCAGGTTCTAAATCAGCCCGGCTCCATGACCCCAGATACTAGCTTAGCCTTCTGAGAAGGAAGCCATTTCCTGCTGCTCTGCTGCCAGGAGCCAGGATGCCCCATCCGGAACTGGGTGTGGGGAGATGAGAGGCACCATTAGCAGCCATGGCTACACTGGCATTAGGAGATTAATGAGGCTTTTTGAATAACAAATGTAGCTTCAGCCAACTGTTGGCAATTAGTTAGAGCAAAGCCATGCTGTGCTCTGACTCTGTCAGCTGGGACCTCCAAAGGAGCATTACAGCAGGAAGGACTAGACCGGGAGGGAAAGAGTTGAAATTCTACCTTCCACATTCCAGGCCGGCCCTGTAGGTGTACAGTGACCCTGGGCTAAGTCTTCTCGTAACCGTCTTTATCTGAGATCATGTTGAGAGACATGTAAAGCAATGAGGGGCCTTGAGAGATCATTTTGTCTACCAGCCTGCCTCCACTCAGGACCACACAGCAGTGCTTCTCGAGGTTTAATTTGTATATAGGTCTCCTTGGAACCTTGCTCCCAGGTGACTGCTGATGTTGCTGGTCCAGGAACTACTTTGAATAGCAAGACCCACGAGAGAGAGAGAGAGAGAGAGAGAGAGAGAGAGGACAGAGAGACAGAGAGAGGAGAGAGACAGAGATGTGGGCAGGGGAGCATGCTTTGGAGCCCAGAGCACATTTATTTCATTAAGTTGAGATTTTAGTCTTTATAATTCATTCATCATTTACTTCATCATTCATTCAACAGCATCTACTCTGCTAGGCAACTGAATTCACATGTATTGGTACAGAGAGAAGGGTGAAAATAGTTTGGAGTAACCAGAGAGTCTCCTGGGACAGGAGGAGAAGCCTGGGGAAAGCAGAGTGGGTGCAGGACTGGGCCCCCAGGGTGGGCCTAGCTGCAGGCTAGCAGATGCTGCTGTACTCCTCCCTTCCAGGAAGGCCCTACCAAAGCTGCAGTGACTACAGGCCCAAAGCCAAGGCACACAGTGGACAGGGAGAAGTAATGCTCACATCATCTTCTCTTTAAGAAAGAAAATGCATCTTAAAAGCAGTAGGAGCTAATTTGCTCTTCTGTAATCAATCACCCAGTACAGGAAATAAAAACACAGGGAGATTCTAGGCAGGCAGGCAGGCAGGCAGGGGGACTCTGTAGAGAGGATGGTCTTCACTTCATGGGTTTAACAAAATAAATCTTAAGGACATGTGGCATGAACATGTGTATGTTTGGGTATGAGGAGGTGTGTATGTGGAGGGCCATGTTTAAAGTGGTGCCAATCTTCTCCAGGCTTCCAAACAGTCTCGCCTCATCTTGCCTGTCTTTTGATCTATATGTGGGTAGCGGGGAATTATTTCAATTAAGGCTTCTCTGAGCTCTTACCTCTAGAAAAGGAAAATGGTCATGTGCGGTGGCTTACACCTGTAATCCCAGCACTTTGCGGGGCTGAGGCTGGTGGATCACTTAAGGTCAGGAGTTCAAGACCAGCCTGGCCAACATGGTGAAACCCCATTTCTACTAAAAACATAAAAATTAGCCAGGTGTGCTGGTGCATGCTGTAGTCCCAGCTACTCGGGAGGCTGAGGCAGGAGAATTGCTTGAACCTGGGAGGTAGGGGCTGCAGTGAGCTGAGATTGTGCCACTGCACTCCAGCTTGGGCGACAGAGGGAGACTCTGTCTCAAAAAAAAAAAAAAAAGGGAAAAACATCCAGATGTCACCCTGGAAACAAGGAGCTTAGATTTACCTCCACCTTTCAGCTCATCGCTGGCTACCTTCTGTTCCCTCCCGAGCCTTGGCTTCCCTGTCTGTAGAATGGGGAGATTCTCACTCTTCCCTCTCTGTCCCACACCACTGAGGTGAGGAAAACGACAGTGTTACTAAACCTGGTGTAAGGTAAGCTCCAGGGGAACCTAGTGCTTGGGCTATTTCCATCTGAGCCTTGGGGTTGGGATGAGAACAGCCCACGACAGTGTTAGACGGTGGCTGTGGAAACAGCACCCCTTGGGAATGCCATACGGTGTGGCACGCGTTTTCTAACTGTTCCATCCCCACTGCTCAAAGAAGTGCCCCAGCCAGGTCCCTTTCTCATTTGCTGTCTTTCCTTCCCTGTCTTTTCTTCCTTTTTTTCTCCCTCTCCCTCATACTGTTTCTTTTATCCCTGTATCTATTGTGACTATAGTTTCCAAATTAAAAATTTGGACATAGCCTGACAATACATCAGAGTATTTGAGACATGGACATCCACAGGCATTCTGGGATGGGTGAGCTAAACACCCCTCTCCATGTGCTGCCTCCTCTGCCTGTGTCTGCTCTGGGCTCCAACTCCACGGTCATATGACAACATGTTGGGGTCAATGTGATGCCAAATGCCCAGATGTTTAGAAATATCCGGATGGTAGATTTAATGTTTACTGTTTTGTATATTCTGAGTGCCCTGTGCACACAATTCAGTAAAAACAAATACATGAATAAATTTTAAAAACCTCTGCAACCCAAGCAGTGAGTTGTTTAGCATCTTGTCTTCAAAACAAGTGGTAGAGATTGGGTTTTTTTCCTTCCTCCTGGCATTATTTTGGTGGTATCCAATGCAGACTTCATATAAGCCATCTCTGACCAAACTCTCTGAATACCTTCCTAGGAAGAGACTCTTCTATGCAAAGAACCCCATTGTTTGGTTTCCTGAAGCCACATGGTCTGTATAACAGTGAATGTGGTCCCTGGTTCAAATCCCTACCACATCATCCATCTGTCCATCCACCCACCCACCTGCTTTTTCTTCATTCCTTCCCTCCCTCCCTTTTCCCCTTGCTCCCTTTTTCCCTCCTTCTCTCCTTCCAAACTTATATGTCCCCTACACACCCTGCACTGTGCTAGATACTGATCCTTGTCTGCTAGGACTCGGGGTTTATTGGGTAAGACAGACATGCACACAGCAGTTGTAGAACATGTTCAAGTGCAATTCTTCCCCAGACCTGTCTCCGGATATTTTCACCTTCTCTTCCTGACTTCATGTCCCATGCCCCCACCAGCTTCCCTGCACCCCCTGTGTTTCCAGGGTGGGAGCTCAAAACATATTAGAGAAGAGCCACTCCTTTGTAGCAGGGAGATTTCCTTCCCAAACACATGTGGGTGTCTAGAAGAAAGAGAGATTTATACCCACAAGTTTGAATGGTGTCCTTTTCTCTCCTCTCTCTCTGGAACACCTAGTTCATGTTTCCCCACAGAACAGCAGGCCTCCTGCCATGGAAGGCAGCACCTCTCATCTAGGGTGGGGGATATTTCTTCCTGCAGAATGTCCTCCCCTTGCATCCCCACCCCCACGTGGGAGCAGATGGACAGGGGGACGGAGCCAGTTGTTTGTTTCAGTTCTGGCTGGTGTCGGCCTGGTGGGAGAGTGTAACCAAGAAGAGAGAAGGCTTGTGGCTTTGGGAGCTTAATTAAACATATTTACAAAGTCCAGGCCTGGTGAGCTAGTGAGGAACAATGAGACAGAGGATGGTATTGCATTATAAGATTAATAAACCAATTAAAGAAAGACTGCAGTGGCCTGGTGGCCCCACTGGGGCAGAAGGCGAATTTGACAGCTGCTCTTTTTTGATGATTGCCACAAATTTCGGAAGAAAAGACAGCCTGGGCTTCCCCTAGTCCACGAGAGAATACCCCAGGCTGTTGTCCTGTCTAATCGCTCAGACTGCTAGTCAAGTTGTTTTCCAAGCCTGTAGGTTGGATGTCATGTTTAGTCAACTGGGGGAAAACAACAACAACAACAACAAAACCCCAACAAAACAAAAGCTACTTCTTCTCTAATCCTAAAAAAAAAAAAAAAAAAGCACACACATGAGACCATTTATATTTTCTCGGAACGCACCATTCCCAGGAAGAGTGGGATAGGATAGGCAGGGGAATTTGGGGAGCTCCTGCAGGCAGTTCACAGAAGAGCCTCGCTGGGGAGGGCCTGCCTCCCGTGGGTCTGTCTCTTGCCCGTTCTATCAACGTTAGCATGCTGCTCCACAGCTCTGGTTCTCTTGTAATCAGATTACTGTTAGAATTTTTGCACATGTTACATTATGTTTAAATGACTGCCCCTTGCCATTGCCTGGGACATAATTAGTAAAAACAGGCCCTTATGCAAAGTCCAATGAAGACCCTGACTTTATGAAGCAACAAAACAAGCGCCTCGACTCATTAACCATAGGCCATAGGCCTCTCTTTTCGCACGACCTCCCCTCCTCATTAACATTATTTTCTCAAGACCCCTAAAGGCATGTGCCTTTCCTAAACACTCCTGGGCCAGGGCCCAAAAGCTCCTGCTCAAAACCAGGAGAGAGGCTGTGAACACAGTTTCCCTACACGATGGGAAGTGTGAGTTAGAAGCCCGCACCTTCAGTGATAGCCAAAAAAGCATAAGACAGTGTGTTGGGGCTCCTTTCCCTTGCTTAGCTGTACCAGCCCTGGGAGCTCAGGGGCCCCAGTGTTCGTGGCATCAGCTGCCTAGGCTTGGTTTTCACAGCTGTCAGACTGCTCCTATCAGGAGCTGAAAGGATGCTAAGATGGCCATGCAAGTTTCAGAAAAGGTTCTGGGTATTTCAGTTCCTTCATTTGAAAAAAAAGAAAAAGAAAAAAAAGGGGGATAGTAACATAGTAAAATCAATTCTGCCCACTTTATAACATTGGCAGAGAAGCAAGGCGAATAATGTACTTGGAGACTTCTAGGTAAACATGACTATTTGTTGTTATCAGGCAGTGCCTTAATTCCTTCCTATCTGGAATAAAATAAGGAATGAATGACTCAGACTGACTTGGGTCTTACCAATTGTGATCGTGGCAACTTGTTGGGACTCTCAGACCCTCATTTTTAAATGGGAATGACAATGCTTGAGGTCGAAATGTGGCTTTTGGCATCATGATGAGGTTTTTGTCCCTTCCTAGCTGCTTAGTCTTGCAAGATTTATATTCTTATCTGAAAAATGAGATAATTCCCACCTCATAGGATTATTCTAGAAATTGATTAAATCGTTTATGTAAAGTTTCCAGCTCTGTGTCTGGTACATAGTAAATGCTTAGTGTAATAATAACCACATATAAAAATAATCTTTTCTTTTTCTTTTTTCTTTATTGAGACAGGGTCTTTCTCCGTTGCCCAGGCTGGAGTGCAGTGACAGGATCACAGCTCACTGCAGCCTCAACCTCCCGGGTTCAAGCAATCCTCCCACCTCAGCCTCCTGAGTAGCTGGGACTACAGTCACACACCACCACACCCAGCTAATTTTTGTATTGTTTGTAGAGATGGGGTTTCCCCATGTTGCCGAGGAGGGTCTTGAATTCTTGAGCTCAAATGATCTGCTTGCCTCTTCCTCCCAAAGTACTGGGATTATAGGCGTGAGCCACCTGGCCCAGACAATAATCTTGATTTTTCTTGTTAATAAATGAGATTATTTAGACAGCATCCTGCACAGTATCTAGCACATGGCAGATATTCAATAAATAAAGGTTTCCACCTTCTCTCCTTCCTAAATAAATGAAACCAGTCCATATAATAAAAAACCTGGCCCAACTCAGTTTTCTTTTGAACAGAAAGGCTATTGCAGCATAGAATGGTTAGAGCCTGAGAAGGTCACATACCTTTAAAAACTGCTCCACAGGGTCACTGCTTTCTCCAGGAGAAAAGAAATGGACGTAAGAGGCCGGGCACCATGGCTCACGGCTGTAATCCCAACATTTTGGGAGGCTGAGGCGGGTGGATCATGAGGTCAGGAGATCGAGACCATCCTGGCCAACATGGTGAAACCCCATCTTTACTAAAAATACAAAAATTAGCCGAGCGTGGTGGCATGCGTCTGTAATCCCAGCTACTCAGGAGGCTGAGGAAGGAGAATCACTTGAACCTGAGAGCCAGAGGTTGCAGTGAGCCGAGATCATGCCACTGCACTCCAGCCTGGGCAACAGAGTGAGACTCTGTCTGCAAAAGAAAAAAAAAAGAAATGGCCATAAGGAATGAAGTGGGAGGAACAAGGACAGAAAAATCACAACTCCACAGGAAGCACGGGGCTGGCCTCTCCTGGGCCTTCTCCCCATGCTCAAAGACAGTGCCTTTCAGTTTTCCTCACATGCCTCTGAAAGTACTCTGAAAGTCTATGTAGCTCCTCAAACATCTTTAAGCTAACATCTACAATTTTCTCCATTAAGTTTGGAATCATTCCAAAAGGTATAATTTCAGGGTATTATAAGTACTGACTCTTTAAAATGAAACCATTACTACTTGTTCAATGTATTCAATGGAATTGGAATATTATAGTGATCTATCATCGTCCTTTAAAAACTATGTGAAACTGTTCTCTATTATTTCAATTTGTTTTTTTTTTTTTTGAAGTTTTGTACAGGCAGGGTCTCCCAGTGTTGCTCAGGCTGGTCTTGAACTCCTGGTTTCAAGAAATCCTCCCACCTTGGCCTCCCAAAGTGCTGGGATTACAGGTGTGAGCTACCATGCCCAGCCTCAAACTGCTATTTAACATTGAGAAATTTTATTTCATTCTCTAATCTTCTTAAACTCACTTTTGTATTCTAACTCCCACAGAATTTTATTCTAATGTGATATGTTTTTATGCTTGACAGTCTTTTTGAAGTGTACAGTTCAGTAATGTTAAGTTCATTCATATTGTTGTGTGTAATCAGAAATTTTACTATTAGTATGTTTCCATAAGTTTCCAAATGTCAAAATTACTTCTTCAATGAATAATCATTATAATTCAGTGTACACATTGCCAAAAAACATAAATATAACATAAATTTTGTCATTGCTAACTTAAACATAGTAGAAATTTATTGGGACTACATCTCTTAATGAGATTAGTGAGATCCTCCAATTAGATAATAAATATTCCTTTTTGCTAGAATGATAAAGGATATAAATCCATTCTATTCTTTATTGAAAACTGGTTTCACTTTTATAAATGTGCACATTGATTAATTTTGCTTACATGTGTAAGTTGATGGGAACAGATATTTTATTATGGTAACTTCATCAATTATTTGAAATCTTTTTGGGTTCAAATGCTCCAAATCACACAGTGACCTATCATCAAAAATTATTTTCTTTTTCAATTCTGTCAAAAGAGAAAAAGACTTCCTAAGGTATTTGTTGCCCATAATTGGAACCATTCCCTTTCTCAATTTCTGGGAATATCCAAAAATCCTTTTCCAAAATTTATTTAATGACTATTAATTACATCTTTTATTCATTTTTTTTTTTAACTTAGCAGCAACTTGTCTCATTCAACTTATTAAGAAAAGATTGAGGCCAGGCACGGTGGCTCACAACCTGTAATCCCAGCACTTTGGGAGGCCGAGATGGGTGGATCACGAGGTCAGGAGACCGAGACCATCCTGGCCAACATGGTGAAACCCCATCTCTACTAAAAATACAAAAAAAATTAGTGGGGTGTGGTGGCGCATGCCTGTAATCCCAGCTACTTGGGAGGCTGAGGCATGAGAATCACTTGAACCCAGAAGGCAGAAGTTGCAGTGAGCTGAGATCCACTGCACTCCAGCCTGGCAACAGAGCAAGACTCCATCTCAAAACAAAAAAAAAAGAAAAGAAAAGATTGAAAAATTAAAATATTGTAAATTTCAATATACTTTTTTCAATGCATTTTAAAAAGCCAGATGCATTTGTTTTATTGCATGCTTCAAGTGTCTTTTTGTCAAAACCATATAGCTCAGATTTAGCTCATTCAATTTATGAAAAATGCCTTATGCATAATCTCTTTAGCAAAGCCAGTCTTTCTTGTCAAACCAGTCTGCAAATCAGACTTACTTTCTGTAAAAAGAGTCTGACTTAAATTTTTAATTCAAATCAACATCATATATTTGAAGGAATATTATAAAAACTACTATAAGAGGGATTACTTATAATCTTGTAAAAAGATTACTAAAAAGCAGTCAAGATTAAAATCATGAAGGATATAATATAATTAATCTATTTTATGGTAAATTATAAAAGCAAGAATAAATCTCTATGCTGTTTCTCATTACTTAGTCACAATTAAATGTTATATGAAGCCAAAAATGCAAGTTATTTATGAAACAAAAGAAAATACATAATAAAAGTGTCGCAAATATGCATGCATATGTGAACTGAGTTTTAGAGTTGGCTTTTGGGAATAATTAAATTAAAATCTTGTATAAAAAACAGAAATAACTCCTTTAATTTCATTAGACATTGAGATAAACTCTCCAACTGATTTAATGAAAAAGCAATGTATATGTTACTAAAGATGAATTGGTCCAGTAGCTAGCATTTAATTTTATTTTTTGATTAATAGAAGGTGTAGGAGAAACAAATTTTAAACATTTTATAAGATGAAATAGTCTCAGGATTGATTGTAACTGGAATACATATTACATTATTTGATAAAATAGATTTTAAGTACCTATTGAATAATGCACACTGCATTCAAAAGAAAGCGTATACAATTTCTCTCTGTGGTTTTATCTGGCTTAACTTGTAAGTGTTAGTAGCCCTGAATACATTTTATTTGTGTTTAAAAGAATTAACATTACAAACCTGTGCTGCTTTGGCTATTCAAAGAGCCTTTCCTCCCTTCCCTTTTCCTTCCCTCCTTCCTTCTTTCCTTCTTCTTTTGTTTTTGGCCATCCTAGGGTTGGTACTGAGAATATTTGAAAAGAGTTGCTTATGTTTAATATGTGAGGAAAAAAGGACTTTTTTTTAGCCTTTGTTATTCTTTATGATGTCTTTTCTTTGCTCTCCTGGGACCCTGTCAAAAGCAATGCATTCTTGGACAAGCCTTGAGGAATGCAGAGAAGAGGTCCTTACCCCAAATTGCCAACATTCCACTGCCGCTACTCTATAGGATGACTGATTAAAGACCACTTCTACAAGGGCCCATTACTGAGCTTGTAGCTTGCTCTTGACTAAAGCAGGGAAGGACTGAAGGCCCTAAGATGAGCTTTTGTGCCTTAATTTATCAATAAGGAAACACACCCCTGAAAAATGTTTTTAATTGTCCTTTTTGTTTGGTGCCCTGAAAACTTTTCCATTCTGGAGAGTAAAGCACAGTAAAGTTGCGAATGGGTGAGGGAAACTCCTTTCTTTTGTAAAGTGAGAGAAAGGCAATTAAAAAGTGCAGGGATGGGGAGAGCAAAGGGGACTGATAGGACACTAGGAAATAGTAAATGCGGTTTGAGTATCTTAGTATCTCCTAGCAGTGGATCAAAATAGCCATATCTGAATACACCTCAGAAGGTCCTCATGGATGGAATTATTTCCACACACTCACACTCACAAGCTCACACACACCAAACATTCCCAAACACACACCTTCACACCTACAAACACTGTTGTACACACGGATGTATACTCACAGGCTCACCTACGTACACACCGTCATCCATATACACTCACAAACTCTTTCATACACTTTCACACTCACACACCAAAACACACACATCCACACATGTACGCACACTCACCTTTTCTTCACTCACACACACCTGCACTTACCCACATTGCAGAAGTTGTTAGAAGGCTCAGAGAGGTCTTTCATTTGCTCCAGGTCACACAGCACAACTGTGTACCCCAGTTTTAAGACTACTGCTCTAGGATATCATGTACAGCTCCCCTCACCTAGGCCAAAAGTCTTGCTTTCCTTCTAGGAGACTGGGAGAGATGTGATTTTTTTAATGGAGATGGTTCAGCCCCTTCTTTGTCGAGGAGGAGAAGGTGCCAGGTCCTGGCAGGTCAGCATGAAACCCTGGCTGCCCACTGCTGTGTCAGCAAAACTCTGCCTGCCCTGGGGATCAGCGGGGTTTTTCTCTGAGGCACCTCAGCCAGGGCAACTTGTCTGAATAGCACAAAAACCTAGAAATATACTTCATTGACGATCAGGTATGGCATTAGTCACTGGTTGGTGGCAAACAGAAATCACTGTTAATGTACCCAGACACACTTTTACATCTTGTGGTCCTGTTAGTCCAGTGGGGGGCAGTGTGGTCACCTAAGCAGTCACCTTGGGATATAGTGCCAGGCCTGCCCCAGTTGTGCTGTGTGACCTGGAGCAAATGAAGACCTCTCTGGGCCTCTCACTAACCTCTGCAATGTGTGTGAGTGTACGTATGGATGTGTGAGTGCGTGTGTAAATATGTGTGAGTATGTGTATGTGCAGAGGTGTGTACACATGAGCGTGTTTCAGTGAGTGTGAGGCAGTGTGAGAGGGTTCGAGAGTGTATGGCATATGTGCGTAATGCTACTGTGCAAGTGTGTGAGTGTGAGAGTATGTAATGAGTGTGAGCATTTGTGTGCAATGAGTGCGAGCATGTGTGCATGTACACATAGATGGTGGAGAGAGAGAGGGTCAAGTAGAAGGGAATCTTTAAGGGAATTTCCAAAGTATATTAGTATCTCCCAGTGACAGGTGAGGACACAGGAGACTATTTTTCTTCTTTCAACAGATACTGATTTGTTCTATACAACATATATAGTTTGCTGCTAGGCTCAGTGTTGAAGTTGAATGATAAAGAAGACAAATACAGTCCTTGCCCTCATGGAGCTGACAGTCTCAGATTCAGATAAGAACACAGGCTTTTGCAATTCAGTGTGAGAGTTGCAAGAGGGGCTGTAGGGAGTGCTATGGTCTGGATGTTTGTGTCCCCACAACATTCATATGCTGAAGCCCAAGGTGATGGTATTAGGGTAAAGGGCCTTTGGGGAAGTAGCAGGTCATGAGGGTGGGGCCTCAGAAGGACACTCATAAGAGAGACCCTCACCGGTTCCACCAAGTGAGGATACACTGAGAAGTTTGCAGTCCACAGCTGGAAGAGAGTCCTCACCAGAACCTGACCAGTCTTGAACTTGCCTCCAGAACAGTGGGAAATACATTTCTATTGCTTACAGGCTGCCCAGTCCTATGGTAATTTGTTATTGTGGCTTGAATGGACTAAGACAGAGAGCTACGGGAGCACAGAGGAGGAGCACCAGGACAGACAGGACGAGAGGCCGGGCCTTGCTGCTGAGACCTAAACCACAGGGTAGAGAGCTGGGTGGGGTAGAAGCAGCGGGGCTCTAGGCCTGTGTTTCCACTATGGTAGCCATTAGCCACATGCGACTGTCGAGCACTTGAAAACTTGGCAAGTCCACACTGAGATGTGCTGTAAGTGTGGAATACACACCAGATTTGGAAGACTTGGTATGGAAAAAAATGTAAACTATCTCATTAATCATTTTTATATTGATTCCATGTTGAAGTGATAACATTCTGGATAGATTGAATTATAAAATATGGTTATTCATGATACCATCACTCCTTTCTTTCACTTTTTTTCACTGTGGCTACTAGAAAACTCACGATTGCCTATGTGGCTCCCATTCTATTTTTATTGGCTGGCACTGCTCTAAGCAACAAGAACGGTCTGCACAGAGCTCAGAGGCAGGTGGGAGTTCGATGGATTTGGGGAATTGGAAGGGATTTTTAATTGCTGAGCTTGGGGTTTAGGGAGGTCATGGGGCAGCCTTATGAAGCGTCCCAGTGAGCCCTTCACAGGAGCCTGACTGTATCCTGAAGGCAGCAGGAAGGATTTCAGGCAGGGATGTGATCAGATCAGACTGATGTGCTTCAGAAACCATATTCTTACTTTATTCATGGAAAAAGGGACGAGGAACGAGAGCAACACTGAAAACAGGGAAGATGAGTCAGAGGCTGTAGCAGGCAGGGGCCTGGTGAGAGATGACCGTGGCCAGGGCTTGGTGTTCTCAGTGTGGATCGAGAAAAGTGAACCATCAAAATGAGTACTTTCATTACAGACACCTGGGATTTATTTCAGCAGGGAACTCTAGGAGAGTTAAAGTTTCCAGTGTCTGCATCTTATACTCATGGAATCCTCAAGCCACAGATGAATAGGGCAGGAAGGGAGTTTTCAAAGTGATTTGGACATTCCTCTTTAGGGGCTCTGATAGAGCAGGGCCCTTTAATCCCCAACCTGAAGAACTACCTAACAGGCAGGTGCTTTTCTTCCTGGGATGAAGAGAAGAGATTTTCTTCCCGACAGAAGCTTGTCAAAGCAGCGGTAGCTTGAGGGTACCCCAGGATGTGGGCCACAACACCCATGGAGACTGTTTTGCATGTCATTTCTAACAATTGTCTCTGCAGGCTGCCATCCCAGAGAACATCTGAGCCAGTGATTTTAGGTTTTCTTTCTGCGGAAGCCAGCACTTTGGCAGATGCTTGTGGAATGATAGGGTGCCTGTCTGGGCTGGCTTCCTGGTGCTGTCCACTTTTCCAGCCCACAGTATAACAGCCTCTGGCATTTGATGCACCTGACTTAGAAAATCAGCCGTTACTTGCCAGCTGTTGTTAAAATGGTCTCCCAATTGCTTTTCCCATTGCTGATCTTGTCCACTTCCCCCAACATGTAATTCTTTATTTGTGATGCTAAATCTGATTACCTTCCTCCTCTGCCTCAAAATCTTCCAAGATGCACCGTGTACCATAGATCAAAGCCCAGCACTCCTCCACAGGGTATTCAAGGCTCTCTAAAATCTGGTCTTCTTCCTCTGTGACCTCATCTCCCATCATTCTTTCCAAGTCTCTCACCCTCTAATGATGCCCAGCCATCTGCTAGCCTCAGAACACACCACACCTTGACTCATGCTGTTTTCTGCCTGCTATCAGCTTTCTGTTTTCTCTCCCTAGTTCCAAGTCCCAGGTAAACCTACTACAGGTTGCACATCCCTAATCTGAAAATTCAAAATCCAAAATATTTCAAAATCTGAAATGTTTTGAGCACCGATATGGTGCCACATGTGGAAAATTCCACGCCTGACCTCGTGTGATGGGTCACAGTCAAAACACAACCAAAACTTTGTTTCATGAACAAAATTATTTAAGAATACTGTATAAAATTACCTTCAGGCTATGTGTATAAGATATATGTGAAATATAAATGAATTTCATGTTTAGACTTGAGTCCTATCCCCAAGATATCTCATTATGTATATGCAAATATTCCCAAATCTGAATAAATACAAAATCCAAAACACTTCTGGTCCCAAGCATTTTGGATAAGGGATAGTCAACTTGTGCCTTCTCCTTGAAGGCTTCCGTACCATCTCTCTTTGTAAGGAATCCCAACCTCCACTGCCTTCCACATGTTACTCTGTTATAGGACTTGGTCTGGCCAGTCTTGTGTTATTTCTTGCTTATAGGTTTTCCTTCCCCATTATGCTGTGAGTTCCTGACAGCCAGGAACTCTGTCTGCTTTGCGTTTATAACCTAGAGATACACAATAAATACTGGCTGAGTGACAGAATAACTTCATGGAGCCCTTGGGGTTGACAGTGTCCTACTTTAGTCTTTCATAGGGACCTGCAATATTTATGGCAACCTGGGGCAGGAGGCAGCACTGGGACAGGGATGAGGTGAGTGAGGGGACCAGGGTGCAAAATATAAGAAGGCACCCCCTCTCTGGGTGCTGATCTGGGCTTGCCCGACCCTGAGGGTGGGCACCTCCTAGGTGTTCCTCCTGTTTTCCCCTCATCCCAGCCCTGGCAGGAGGGAGGGATGAGAGAAGTCTTGGGATCTGAAATGAGTCTTGCCACAGGGCATCTATAGGGACAGGCTAGGCTGTCAGTTCCTCCTCTTATTCTGATGCATGGAGCTCTCTGAACAAGTGAGCTCAACCCATGTCTAAGGGGCCCAGAAGTTCCAGCATGAATCCAGAGCCTACTGGCATGAGGAGAGTGGCCACAGAGATGTGGCCCCACAGATGGGATGGCCTGGGGAGTGGCTGACATTTGGAACACTCTGGAGACAGGCAGAAGGGTAGCCCTCACAGGCAGTCTCTCTAAGGGAGCAAGGTACCAGCCTGTGGGCCGGAACATGAAGCCAGAGAACACGAAGCCAGAGGACATCCCCAGAGGATAGTTACATTCTGGGGTTCAGTGTAGACATATGTATCTTAGGTTACTCATAGAATATAAGACATATGAATATAATATAAGACATGGAATATAAGAGAATATGTATCTTAGGTTACTCATAGAATATAAGAGACAAATAAAAAGTTATAGCAGGAGGAAATGCTAAATATTGTCTACCTTGGTGGCTCTCAACCCTGGTTGCACAGTGGCTGTCAGCCTTGGTTCCCCACAATCACTGGGGAAATTAGAAAAATATCTATGCCTGAACCCTACCAAATTTAATAATCATCTTTGGAGATAATGCCCAGATAGTCATCTTTTTTTTTTTTTTTCTAAAAGCCCCTAGTTGGTCCTAATCTATAGCCAGAGTTGAAAGCCCCTGATCTAGACCAACTTCATCATCTTATAGGGCAATTATCTGTGAAATTATTGCTTGCACGTTTATTTCTCATATTAGATTGAAAACTTTATATGAACAGGAAAGGTATCTGTTAATCACTATATTCATCCCCAGGGCATGGCACAAGGCTGGCACAAAGTTGAATGAATAACTGAGTCAATGGGTGAGTAAACCAAGGCCCAGAGAGGGGAAGGAACTTAGGCAATGTCATGCAGCAAATACACATGTGACAGAACCAGCATTAGAATCTTTGTCTTTTGACTCCTTGCTTGGTGTTCTTTCAGTTATCCCATGACTTCCATGGTTGGATGGTCACACCTTGGATCGCTTTACTCCAGAACTGGTAGATGTGCTTTTGTCTTCCTACAGGCCACATTGCCTGCTGTTGTAATTATTTGGGAGTCACAGGTTTGGAACTAGATCTTATTTTTTTGAGCATCACCAGCTGACCCACCACAAACGACTGACTTTAATAACTAAGGTGGGGAAGAGGGGGCTGGAAGGGAAGATGGGGAAATAAGCCCCACTCCGACTCAGGCTTTTGAAGTACCATACCTTCATTTTAGGACTTCACTTGCCAGAGGCCACTTTGCTGTTCTTCAGCCTTCCCCTACTGTGCCCTATGTAAACTTGAACTTTCCATCTTCTCTAGCCAATTGCTCAATTTTAATTACCTGTCTGGTTGAAAAGTCCTGAAAACCAATTCACAGCAAGGTGTTAATGATTGATAAGCTTTGATGGAATACATCTTCCTGGGATCTTTGCATATCAACCAGGGACAGTGTCCTGACTCAAAATAAGGGACGTCTAATTGCAACATTTTGAGTAGAAGGGAACAGAACTGTGAGGGGCAAGTCAGGGTGTAAACAGGGTGGCCCTTCTGGAGAGACTATCCTCAAATCCATCAGAGGAAGGCAGCCAGGAGTTTATCTTTGAGTAAGGCATCTGAAAGGCACTATTGGGGGTCAAAGTCTCAAGTCTACCTGGGTTAGAGGTGTACTTTGAACACAGAATTCTCACCTTCTACCAGTGGTATGAGACCAGCAGCTTCCCTGGGATTCTGTAGGGGGCTTGGCCAATGGGCTCAGACCCCTAGTGGTCAAGGAGGAAGAAAACATATCGGTGCCTGAGGCGGAGCTCTTAATAAATGTTAACGCTCTTTCTTCTCTCAGCAGGGACTGCTCAGCCTGCAGCCCCAGAGGGAACAATTAGATTGTTTATCCAAACCTCAGCCACTTTGCTATGTAATTGATTTTTCATTGAGTGTATTTAGGAAATGGTTATTTACGTGAATACAGGCACACCAGGGACATGGCAGCATCTGATCATAGGAAATGGGAGGGGACCGAGATCAAAGGGGTTGCTGGAGGAGGAATAGTAGGAGGGAGGGTGGGCTTTGGAGGCAGACATCCTAGGCTGAGATTCTGACTCTGCCGCTGACTGTGCAGATATGGGCAAATTATTAACCCTCTTGGCCCTGGTCTTTTTTTTAAGAGGGGGATAAAATGTACTTCCTAGTAGGGTTGCTACAAGGATTAAGCTAAACCATGCTTGCAAAACACTAAGAACCGAGCCTGCCGTATCATATACACTTAGTAAGCTGTTGTTATTATTACTACTACTATTATTTTCTATGCCTGGGAAGCTTTCCTATCCTCCACTTAGCCTGCTGCTTCCTATGTCTCAGCAGTTAGCCTAAGTCTCGCCTCTTCCCCAAAGCCTTCCCTGACAGCCACAGTCCCATCTAGTTCCTGCCATTTTCCATAAACATTTATGAGATTTAATCTGTAGCATCATATTTTAAACCTCACTTGCAAGCCACAGTATTTTATCCTTTTCTTCCCCTTGTCTAACCCAAGTGTTAGCAAACTACAGCTCACGGACAAAATTCTGGTCTCTTGACTAAGTTTATATAGCCCACGGGCTAAGAATAGCTTTTACATTTTTAAATGGCAGAAAAAAATCCAAAGAAGAATATTTTGTGACACATGAAAACTATATCAATTCAAATTTCAGTATGCAGAAATATTTTATTGGAATGCAGCCACAACCGCTCACTTACATGTTCTCTATGGCCGTTTGCGTGCTACAACAGCAGAGTTGAGTAGTTGGGAAATCATATCTGATTTCCATTTTAAAACAATAGCTGTATGAGGTAGGTGTTTCTTGGTTTCATCCTACAGATAAGAAAATTGAAGTTCAGAAAGGCCTGGTGGCACATGATTATACAACAAGGGAGGGGCAGAGGTGGGATTTGAACCTAGGCTTCACCAGATTCTCTCTCCTACCCTCTCTGTCTCCCTGCCTGGCTGGCACAGAGTTGAGGCTCAATAATTGTTCATTAGGTACATTCAAAGTAACTTCTGAGGCTTGGACAGTGAACGAACTTCATGCCCCACATGCTGTCCCATCTGCTCAGCCCTCCTTGGTGCTGGGGACAGCTAGTAACTTGGTCTAGGGGCTGGCCGGCAGGTCCCTTCTGTTTTCCTTAACCTTGCACCAGCTATACAGAGGCCAAATGACAAACATTAATTAAAGTACGAGGGAACAACTTAATTAGCCCCTAATAGTCACATGCTGCCAATTAAACACCTCGATGGCTAGTTTACTCTGGAGCTTAATTAGGTGTTTCTCAATAAATCTAG